>NC_000011.10:4908484-5211515 GCF_000001405.40 Homo sapiens
AAGAGATATATAAGATATAGAGGTTTAATTAACATTTTAAGGGAAGTTGAAGGAAAATACTTCTGTGATGGAGCAGCTGGATTTGAGTCAACCCATAAAGAATGAATACAATTTGGGCAGATTGAGATTACCATTCAGTTAGTATCTATTAAAAATACAGATGATATACAAAGTCTAATCTCATACTGTCAAGGAAAGGTAAAATAGCTATGAAGGATGCTGATCTGATTACAATAGAAAGTGAAATTTAACAGATAGCAAGTGATATTTTGGATAAAATAAGTGAACCAGATTTTGGAGCACCTAAAAAAAGCTTTGAAAAGTCTAAATTCAGGAGGTGTTGGAATGCCAATTTCTTCTCTACATGATAAATTTCATTTTAAGAAGAGCGTGCCTGTAAACATGGATTGAATTTGGGAGAGATGAGGAAGGAAGATTAACAGGAGAAAGCACAATAATCCTGCTGTGAAGTGATGACTCAGAATAGGCAGGGAGAGAACAAGATCATTTAGCTGCTGTTGTTATTTTTCTGTTATAAAACCAACATGTAAATTATGGAAAATTCACAAATTTAACTAAGTGACTAAAAGATAATTTTAAACCCCCTATGGTTTTGCTGTTTAGTTTTTTTCTGTGATTTAGTCTTTCCCTGCGCCTTAAAAAAAATCAGCCCCTCTAATATGTTCTTAAAAATTGATTCCTGCAGGACACGACATTTGGTACCACAATAATTTTCACTAAAATTTATATTTTAAACTTTTTTTCTCATGTATAGAGGAAATACATGATGGAAAAATCAAAAGAGTATACAGTTGAAAATACAATTTGAAGGGGGGCAAACAAGATTGATATGGCAATCTCTCTGGGATTCTAAGGTAAGAGTGTTGTAAACAGAAAAGAAAAGCTTTTCAAAGGAACTGGGGACTTGAATGATGGGTTTGAATTTTGTCTTGAGGATTTGGCATAGGTGACTGAATATTCAAAAACAGGCAACTACAGAGAATTAGAAAAAGGAAACGGGGATGCTTATCTGTCATGACTAGGAAAGCAGCCGTGGCCCTCTTAGACAATGATCCTTGGAAATAGACATGGAAGTAAATACATATTTTAAACAAAGTTTGGTTATCAAACTGTGAAGATCCTCTCTTGCTAAAGTCTCTCTAATATGCTTTTTTACCCATGATTTTCCACTGCTGTTATTTTAGTTCACATTTAAAACTTCCCCTGGGTTCTCTGGTCATAGCTATTTGAAAGATCTTTCTAAAATGTAAATTTAACCACAGCTAAAATGCTTCAGTAGCTGTGCAGTAACTTACAAGATAATGGCAAGGCTCTGTATATGCACAAGGCCTTTTCCATCATTCAGTACCTGCTTTTCTCTACTGCATTCTTTGTCAACATTCTCTGTCTTACGCTTCAACAGAGTAACATAAAGACATCATGTTACTTATATCCAAACCTCGGTTTTTGGTGTATTTTTTTTGGTCAGAAAAACTGCATTCATTTTCTATTTCTGCATAACAAATTATTAAAAACTTAGTGGCTTAAAACAATACAAATGTATTGTTTTATAATTCTGTAAGCTGCAGTTCTGACATGGGCTTCATTGAGCTAAAATCAAGATGTTAGCAAGCCTACATTCCTTTCTGGAGACACAGAGGAAAATCTGTTTTCGTGCATTTTCTGGTGTCTAGAGGTAACCCATAATTCTTGCCTCATAGATCCCCTCTTTCATCTTCAAAGCCAGGAACATTGCATCTTCCTGTGACTTTATTCTATAGTCTCATCTCTGACCATGGCCAGTAAGGAGTCTCTACTTCTAAGGATTCATATAATTAGACTGGGTTCCCCTGGATAATCTTGGATATTCTGCCTATGTTAAGGTTTTGAATCTTAATCAGTCTGCAAAGTATCATTTTCTATGTAAAGTAATATATTTACAAGTTTCAGGGGTTATAATGTTGAAATCATTAGGAGAGGGTGCACTCTGCCTACCACAAATACATTTTCTCAACTTCTCTTTATCTATTTATTTCTTTAGCAGGACATTGCTAGATGTACTGTATTCATCTTTGCTGACACTTTTTGCTCCAAGTACAACAAACTTATACCTCAATTTTATTCCCTTTCTTATACACTGATATCTACACCATAATTTAAAATAAATATGAGCCTTTAATTGTTTAAAGATTGCTTACATCTCTGCCAAATTGTAAACTCCATAGGATACATATGTCTGCACATCTTAGTTTTTCTGTGCCTCTAGTACTTGGCACATATTTGGACAAAGAAGGGCCCAATAAATATCTATTGGTCAATTTGTAAATGCATGAGTGACCATCATGGAATAAAAAAAAAACTGCTCATTACCTAAGCTCAAAATCTTGAGTATTCCCTGAGGACAGAGTCCTAAAATTATAATATGTCAATCATATCCAATTGAAACATATAATCACACCTTCAGGCAGTTCCTTTCCTCCTGCTACAATCATGCCAGGCCTAAAGTAAAAACTGTAATGTCTCCTGAAATGTAACTGTCTTCTCTGCTAAAGGCCAGAGGTACTCAATAGATATTGGTTGGATAAATACGAAACCTGCAGTCACTGCAAATTCTGATCTCTGGGTATTACTGACTGCATTTTGAGACACCCTCCTTCTCTCAGTTTACCACTTGAATATTCTTGACAAGAATTATTTATAATGGTCTTTGTCATCAAGAAATGACAAATAATGATTTCAGCAAATAATGGACTTTGTTATCTCTCAGCTTTTTCTCAGAATATTTGCTTTGCTTAGGATGCTATTTTTCCTTAATTTCACCTGGATACCTTCTGGCTGACTTTCAGGAATCAGTAGATCATCCCAAGTTGCAAAATGTGCCAGACATCCCCACTAGACAAATCCTTGAGGGTGGGAAATGTGTCTTGTTCATCAATTTATTCCTATTAATTTTTACAGAAATTGATCAGTGAGTGTTGAATACTGAATAAATGCATAAATGTCAGCCTCTCTCTCAACCATCTTCAATTCACCAATTAATGTAGCTTCCAGCTTACTTCGCTCCAGTCACACCGGTCCTCTTGCTGTTCCTAGAACACTCAGGTTCATTTCTACTTCAGGACTGCTATACTTGTTCTGCCATTCTGCAATGTTCTTCCCTCAAGTTTTATTTTTCAAATATCTAACTCCATCATATTGTTCACAATTTTGTTCAGAAAAGCCCCTCTTTATAGAGGCCTTCCCTGCTCACCCATTCAATCGCTCTCAACCCATTACCCCACTATGTTTCCTTCAGAGTACTTTGCAGTTTATGAAATAGTTAATCATTTACTGTGCTGTTGTCTGTCTCTACCACCAAAATGTAAGTCAGGAGAACAGGTTTTGTTATCCTTTTGCCCACTATATTCCTATAATGTGTGCTTAGAGAGAGAAGAACACTCAACAACTTTTTTTTACCCAACTAACTTCTGCTTATAAGCACTTCAAGCCTTAACTAAGGCAACCGCTCTAGAAATCCACCTGTGGCCCTCCTTCCCCTCAGGGTGGTTTCTGGGATCCCTCATTTATTTAACACACATTCTTCTTTGTGGTTTTTCGTCTGTGTTATTATGTTTATGTTTTATGTTAGGAATTAAAGTAACTAAAGTTTATTGTGAATAAAAGAACATGCTAAGAATTATATTAGAAAGTTTTACATATATGATATGTCTAAATTGCACAGACAGCCTTGTGGGGTAGACATTTTTAGTTCTTTTTAAAATAAAATTGATCTCAGATAAATAAAATAATTTGTCCAAGTCACACAGTAAGGAAGTAGAACTTTCTATACCTGACCCCAAGTTTAGTATACTTGCTACTATATCGGAATAACTTTTAATTTATCACCAGACATAAGAGAACATAACTCCTTTATGGGGACTGAAATTACAAGTGCACATCACAGAGAGAATCCAGCTGTGAAGCTGTATACATGCCTCAAAATTTTCAGTGGTTTAATGTCTTTTTTTCTGAAGTTTTCTGTATACACAAGCATGAAAGACACATACCACTCATGACACTCACAGGCATATTTTATTCAATTTGCTGTGTACAACTAATCATAGGCCTTTTGCATGTTAATACACACAATTCACATATACACATTGTAAAAATAAGAAATTCATAATGAAAGATGTTGGAATATTGAGCCTTAAAAAATGTGATTATGGGATCTGAGTTACGTA
Source organism: Homo sapiens (assembly GCF_000001405.40). NCBI lineage: Eukaryota > Metazoa > Chordata > Mammalia > Primates > Hominidae > Homo > Homo sapiens. Next base: position 4,912,708 of record NC_000011.10, read on the forward strand.
ACAGGCAGCTATAACCTAGGCAGCTGTAATCTTTGTTTCTCTTATTGTAATTTTCCTTTTCTTTAATTACATTGTTTTTTAAAATGTAAAAAACTATAGAATGCTAGAGAAGACCTTTTCCCACTCCACTGTTGATCTTCATTTTTAGATTAACTTACGTCTCACTTCTCTTACACAAAAACCTCAGGACTATCATGTTGTCTAGCCTGGAATGTTAAACATACTCTTTCAAATTGGAAAAGAAAAAAAAAACAAGCTGTAACTATTCAAATTACTATAACTCACAAGTCAGCCTTAGTGTGGAAAATGTTGTAGTCCTCTTAAATTTATTTGCTTTCCACGTGCATAAGCAAATCCTTAACTTTTCAGCTTCAGAGCAATGACCCCATTCCTTCGGGGTCTGTGTTACTCAAATGGTCATTCTCAACTTTGTGGCTAAATAAGCTCTTTTAAACTGGGTTCTGATCCTTTTGATTATTTTGGGGTTGATGATATCATTGCAGAAACAGTGTTCTCATGCCAAACAGGAGGGGACACTGGTGTTGGGAGCAGGGACAGGCATATCCAATGTTAAATGTCAGGTGTACTAGATTGCCTTGGAAGAGACCAACCTCAGGTGAGAACTGGTCCACATACACTTCATAGTAGAAGACATTGTGTTCAGCCACACCCTTTCTTAATCTGCACTAAAACCATGCAGGAACATGACATTCTCATGCTTCTCTCTAGGTGTTCGAAGCTCCCCTTGGCAATATCACATTCAAGCTTGCTTTCCTCACAGTTACCTCCAAGCCCAAACTGCAAATACTATATTGACATGTATTACTCAAAATATAACTTTTATCTAGAATGTCTTGGGGGTACAATAACAATACAACATATAAAAGGGCATAACAAACTATCCTTGGTTCCTTGGCTTATAATCTCTTTCTGATACAGTCAGTACCTCAATCTGTTTCCACTTCACCTCATTTTTCTTAAACCTTCCTGACATTCTAGAGAATAAAAATGGCAACAAAAACAACACTTCAGATAATTCTCAGAATACACTGTCCTCTCTCTCACTTCTGCTTCAGCTTTGCACATGCTGTTCCTTTGGACTGGAACATATTTTTGTCTCCTTCCTCTTACAGTTTTTGACTGCCTAATGCCTACATTTCCCTTAAGGCTATTACTGTGTCAACTCAGGGAAAACTTTTCTGATGCTCCCTTCCCCCAGCTAGGGGAAGACAACTCCCAAACCAATTTCTTTTTTCTTTGAAGAATACAATTAACATGTGATTGTATAACGAATCTTCCCAAAATTTAGTGTCTTAAAAATATTTATTTTGTTTACAAAACTGAAATTTTGGCTGAGTCAGAGAACAATTGATTGCTTTACCAGATGCCAATTGGAGAGGCTGGAAGGTTGGGGAATGGAACTATCTGAGGATTCTCTACTCATTGGTGGTTAACACTGACTCAGCTAAGGTCTCAGCCTTAGCTGAGTGAGACCTTGGCTGAGCCTACTGGATGGAACACCTACATGGGCCTTCTCCACGTCGCCTGGGCTTCCTCTTAGAATAGGGGCTGGGTTTCAAAAACAAGCGTTGAGTGAAACAGACAGAAACAGTGGTGGAATGGAGGTGGAAGAGAGAGAGAGAGAGAAGATACATGGGCTATTTCCACAATACTCAATTCATGAGGCATTTACAAATTCTATCCAGTTTCAAGGGGAGAAGAAGTAGACCCTATCTCTTTATGAGGAGTAGCAAGTTCCTGGAAGAGCATGTGGGTTTAGAATTATTGCTGTGGCTATTTTTAGAAAATAAAATTTACCACATCATATTACATTTTACCCCCCCCTGCCCTGGCCACAACAGAGTGAGGGTTCTGTAAGGACTGTAACTCATCCCTGTACATGTTTGTTGAGTAAGTAAATGTCTCCTTTATTTTATGCATGTTAGAAATTATAAAGGATAGGCAAACAAGGGCACGTTTCAGGAGACAGTGGCTCTAACACTAGACACAGTTAGTAACAAAAGGCATGCGTCACTCGATCCCGGATCTGTTTGGTCTTCACACTGTAGACAATGGGATTCATCACAGGAGGAAAGAGAAGATACATGAAACCCATGACCACCTGGACCAGGTGGGGTGCCTGCTTTCCAAAGCGATGGATGACAGAGAGGCCAATCATGGGAGTGTAGAAGAGCAGCACAGCACAGATGTGGGAAACACAGGTGTTAAGGGCCTTGAATCTCTCAGCCCTGGAGGCGATGGACAGCACGGTGCGCAGGATCAGAGCATAAGAGAAGAGGATGAGCAGTGAGTCTATACCCACTGTAGAGACGATGACAAACATGCCGTAGATGCTGTTGGCCTTCATGTCGGCACAGGCCAATTTCATCACTTCTTGGTGGAGACAATAAGAATGTGAGAGAACTGGGGAGCCACAATAGGGGAATCTTTTGAGCATAAAAGGTAATGGAAAAATGAGTGCTACACTACGACCCAGAGAGACCAGGCCAATCCTGCCAATGACTGTGTTGGTGAGAATGGAAACATAGTGCAAGGGGTGGCAGATAGCCACAAAGCGGTCAAAGGCCATAGACAGTAGCACAGAGGACTCGAGGAAGGAGAAGCAGTGAATGAAAAAGAGCTGAGCAAAGCAGGCATCATGGCTAATTTCTCGTGCTCCAACCCAAAAGATGCCCAGGACTGTAGGGAGAGTGCAAAGGGAGAGACCCAGGTCAATCAGAGCCAGCATGGACAGGAAGAGATACATAGGTTCATGAAGTGAGCGCTCTGTTTTAATGATAAAAAGAATTGTGCAGTTGCCCGGGATGGAAACCAGATACATGAAGCACAGTGGGATGGAGATCCAGATGTGCATGCGCTCCAGCCCAGGGATGCCACTCAGCAGGAAGGTAGCAGAAACGCTGCTGCTGCTGTTTCCCAGGGATCCCAGGGTCATTGTGTGAGGAGACAAGGGGGAAGGTGGGTGCCCTCCAAAATCCTGAAGTAAATTGAGGCAGTACTGGTGATTGCACCTGGTGGAAATTAAAGAAAAAAAATAGAATCAAATATACCTAGAACTGTGCAGCTCTTTCTAGTGGTTATGTCTTTCTGGTCCTTGACTTCCTCTCAGTATCTTTTTGAGGAAATTTGTCTCATAGTTTCAATAAGAAGCAAAGACATGGAATTGTGAAGTGATGAGCCAAACTGGGTGAGTTGGAGATTCTAAATGAGCCGCTCCACCCTTTTTGCTCTTTTCTGACTTCTGTATCAACCAGGTCTTCTTAGCCACTAGAGTTTTTACTAGTCTCACCCAGTGGGATGCACCCAGGGGCCAGGTGCAGTGGCTCACGCCTGTAATCTCAGCACTTTGGGAGGCCGAGGCGGGCGGATCATGAGGTCAGGAGGTTGAGACCATCCTGGCTAACACAGTGAAACCCAGTCTCTACTAAAAAAAAAAAATGGTGTGGGAGGAGGGAGAATTCAGCCTCCCTCTGCTGGCACTGTGGGTTGGCAGTGGCTGTGTTCTGCCACTGAAGGCCACAGCTGTTGTTGGGGACTTTTCTCTTATAGCAGCATACTCCTTGTGTTGTAGTCCTTGCTCTCTGCTCCTTCAGACTAAGAAGTGAGAGTTTCCTCATTATTCCTCTTGGCCCTATTTAACTTTGCCTGCCTCTTACAAATAGATCTTTTACTGGAAAAAAAAAGTCCTCACATGCCTTTTTTCTACCAGGCCTCTCACTAACATTCTAACTTTTATTTCACCTTCTTTTCTTTTCCTTTATCTTACTGTGCTTTCTTTGTTATAGTTTTAGTTTTTTTCTTTCTTTCTCTTTTTTGTTTTTGATTAACTTCTCCAGGCACATACAAGCCCTAATTCTAGACAGACCAACCCTTCACTCACCTTCTCCTCTGGTCTTCCTGACATAGAAGCTTAGCCTTGTCCAAGTAGCTCATAAATGCTGCTCAGCTTACAGAATTCCAGAGAAAGGTGGAGAGTATGTGAATGATGACCTGTGAAGCTATTTCTGACTGCTAGAGTAAGACATCAAAGCCCTGATCCTCCTGTCAATCAGTAACCAGAATTCCCCAGAAGTCCAGGAATCCAACTGCTGTGGACCTAAGTGGCAGGAGAGGCTAAAGCACCATCAACCATGGCCACATCCCCAACCACAAGGTCATGTCCAGGAGAGCCCACTGAACACAGGGCAGTGATGCTGGAAAGGCCCAGTCTTCTACAGAGGAAGAAATGAAGGCTCAGGAGAGTCTTGTCACTGGGAAGAGGTCATATGCCAATTCAGGCCTCCTGACTTCCACAGCAGTGATCTTCCATTCTCAATTAATATCACTGGAATATGAGCTCAAAGAGGGTAGGGGCTTTTCTTTGTTTACCTCTATTAATCCAGTATTTAGAACATGCCCCAGTACGCAGCAGATGCCAAGAATGTTTTTTTGCATGAATAAGTTATTTTTTATTTCGCTAACTAATAGTAACTTGGTGCAGGTTTTATCTCCTTAAAAAGCCTATGAATATTCTATTGATAATATTATGCTGTAGATAAGAAAACAGAAGCTTAGAAAAAATTATTTACATTTCTAAGATCAGACAAATAGTAAAGACAAAAATAGGATTTGAACGAATATTTGATTTTTCTCTAGACTTCAGGATATAAACAATGATTACTCTTTCTTGCCATATAGATAATAATTCAGTGTCAAGTGGCAGAGCTAGCTCAACAGGCCTTTAAAAGCATTGCTGATTCTTTAGCTGAATAAATAAATAAACTGATTGGAGAAACACACATAAAGATATACACAGACACTTTCTCACTCCAATAACGGTGGCATTAATAGTTTGGGCCGTTAACTCACTGTCCACCTGAAGATCATATAGGCTCTCACACCGTGCTCCTCAGCTTCTGCTGTGGCCGTGATCAGTGGTTACCACATTACATATCAAAGTGAATTCAGAAAAGCTGTGATAAACTTACCTGTCAGGGACAGACAAGCTACATATTGGGTTAACAATATACTTTTTATGTGTTCTGTAGAATCAGGTTTTATTGTTTTGATGTAATAGTCTCTAATTGTTCAGTGTTTTCATTGCACTATGAAATTCATTAAAACATCCATGTTCCATAATTACTATTGTAAAAAATTCAGAGAGCCTGACAAATAGTAGATACTCTTCAGTAATTCTATTTCTTTCTTCTTCACCACCCTATTTCATTTTAATGTCAAAATAAACCTAAGGCGGAAAATATTTTTGACATTAAAATGAAATAGGATGGTGAAGAAGAAAGAAATAGAATTACTGAAGAACAGCTACAATTTGCCAGGCTCTGTATTAGGGACATTCCAAAAATCACCACACTTAGACTTTAGAAAAAATTTGCAAGTTAGTATTATTGTCTCAATTTGCAAATGAGGAAAGAGAGGCTTAGAGAATTTTATAATATCCCTAGAATCACGCAGCCAGTCAGTGCCGGAGCTGGAATTCAAACTTAGATCTCTATAGCTTCAAGGCACATACTGAGAAGTTGGAAAAATTTTGGTTAACGAATCCCAGCAATTATTTAAGTTAAGGCAGCCTGAAACGGGTGGAGGTTAAATTAGAAAGATATAGAGAAATGTTAAATGTCTGGATCACATCTTTTTTTCCTATAAACTCAAGACAGACTTTCTTTGGGATTGGAACTTGTGCTTCAGATTGTAAGGAGGTACAGCAGAACAGGAATCAGAGAGAATAATGAGGATAGGTTAGAGGAGGGGACTTGGAAATAAAATAAAATTCAGAATAATGATGCCAGGAGATATCTGCTTGGAAAAGATCACCTTTAGCCAGTTCGCCAGAGAGTTCTTAGTATGATAATTATTCTGAGTTCCTCTCATTTAAAATCCTCGCAGAACCCATTAGCAGTTTTGGTAAGGACTTCATTGTTCCTGACCTAAAGCAGCTGTCCAGGATACAGTGGGTTCAGCAAGATAGACTTAATCCATGGCGTTTCTGCCCTCAAGTTGTTTTGCTTTAAGACTACTTTCTGAAGGGACTTGAGCAAGTTGAATGACTGTTCTGATTCTATTATAATAGACCACACTTTGTGATCACTCAGGGAAATATGTTTTATGTCACAGAAAAGCTTTTTCCCAAAGAGTCAGACTACTTCCTATCCATCTCCTTGTTTCTTGGAAATAACTCCTATTCTACTAACTTGTGTCTGAGACTAGGGGTAGATGTTGACCTTTAATAACCGAGCTCGTTTCATGCCTGCATGACAATTTTGCCCACCTAACTTGCTTAATTCTCTGGGTCTCATCAATATTCCTGCTGTTACCATATAGGAGGCAAGTCTCTGGGCAAGAAAACAAGGAAATTGACTGATGTGAGAAAGCTGTTGTCTACTTTCTGAGCTGGTGCTAAGATCAGACCTGGGATCCCATGAAGCCAGCAAAATCTGACTGTAGCATTTACCATCCTTAGCAGGTGCTCTCTGCAGCCTTTTGGTAGACAAAGTCCCTTCTACCATTTCTCTCTCCAAAGCTCGGGCTCAGCCTTCTGGGATCTTTTCTTGGCTCTACACTCAGCATCAAACACCTGGCTACTATATGAACTCCTCGCATACCAAGGCTAAAAATAAAGGCCATGAACGCTAGAGTGACTGGAGGACGGATGTTTAAATCCATGATTTTTATGCAACTGCCCAAGGTATCCACTGAGACCCTTTCAAGGATCTTTAACCAATTCCCTAGCAGGCCTGGCTCCCTGGACCTCATTACCTCAGACCCTGGAGATAAGAGAAAAAGGGGCAAGGAGACTGGTCTTGTGAGATACCAGGATGGAAAGCCCAGAGGATGCCATGTACCAGCCACTGGTGAAGAATATGGCAAGAGTTTTGAACCAACGCCACAACTTTGGGAAAGCAGAGTGGGTGCTATTGATAATGTTTTATGTGTGATATGGCATAACCCCAATTTATGCACACTGGAGAATTAAATTCACTTTACAATCATAAGTGAATTTAAAAAGGGATTTTTTTAAATTGAATGCTTTCTCCATCACCAAGGGGAGGAAGGAAGTCAGGCTAGGTTCTTGAAAATGCTGGGATGGTATTGATGATTATTCTGGGTGCTCAGGTAACCCTATATGCTCCTGATTTCTGCATACTCTTAGGGACTTCATCTCCTCTTCCTGTCTCTGATCCACTCAGAACTCAGTCCTTTGTTTCCAGACATCCAGGAGCTAATTGGAGAAACTAATCCATTCTTGTACACTTGGGGGTGAGATGAGCCCCTGCAAAAGGTAATTAGAACTGAAAAGGAGTTTTTATGTGATTACAAGGGTATGAAGAGTTAATTTTTGGCCCCTGGGAAAGCTGATGAAGAAGGCATTTTAGAGAGAGAAATGAAGGGAGGGAATAGGCTATTATGTTTTGTGGATATCTAGATTTCTGTCTTTATGGGACCTTTTTATAAGTGCTCTTTGTGGTCTCTTTAAGAAACCTAAGCCTTCTTCTCTTGGGTTCTAACATTATTCAGAGACCTTTGCCAGCCCTGAATTTAAACCTTTCTTAATGTAAGTACCTAGTAGAACCAAGAGTAGGCCATCTATAATTGGCTTGTGTAAGTGGTCTTTTGCTTGCTGTACCTTCCTTTCATACTGTTTCCACAATGCACTTCTTCTCCTCTTATTCAGCTATGACTATTTCTACAAATTCCAGCTTAATTTCTTCCAACATAGTTCCATTCTAGCCACTGACATTTGGAGATTGGGCTTTACACCAAACTCATTATGACACAGAAAGGAAATCTCCATACTCTGACATGAGGCCCCAGATGTAAGAAGTGCTCAGAATATTATGGAGGATTATGGTCATAATGATAATAGCAAAGATCATATAATTAAATGCAAAGCAAGCACAGAACAATTAAACATAATGCCTTTGGTATGGTTTCAGGTAGTGTTGTGTGCAGTTCTGTCAAGGACTTTTGTTTCATTTCTCAGCCCCAAATAGGGAGAGAAATTGTGTTATAAAAATCCCTTTGGGTTTCATTCAAATTTTACCTATATTTATGGTTTACCATCATATGTTGATTCTCCATAAAATATTCAAAATGAGAAGGGTAATCTTTTCTCTAATATCCTACCTAAAAAGTATACTTTAATTCAGAAAATAAAGTGCTTCTAGTAGTAAATAAATCCAGTCATTACTGATAGGTATCAGATGTCATCTTTGAGTGTTTACTTAGACATAACACTATATGAACAAGTGAATATTTATTGAATTCTGTGAGTTTAGAGGTAGCTAATCTTTTAAGTCAAACCACTGGAGCTCATTTAGATTCTGTCCTGATTTCCAAACAATATCCCATGAGCTGAGTAACAAGTTGGTATTGAAGGGATAACTGACAAATGGCAGAAAGCATAGGCGCAGCTTGTAGGACTTTTATATTCTTGTGACAAGTGGATGAAGTACCTATCTTATTTGAACTCTGTAAAAGGGAAGCTCTTCTTTTCCCTAGGCTCACAATTCAGATGTAGTCCAAAGAGCTCTGCTATAACCAAGTTGTCCCAAATCCTGCCTTGGGGCCTCAGTCTAGCAAAGAGAGAGGCATACTGACTTTTCCAAAAGAGGCCCAGCATGAGTAAGTGGACTAGGTTGTAAACATGGATAAAATACAATAAAACAAAACAAAACAAAATAAAATAAAATAAATGACAGTGGCAGATCCGTGAGGGATTCAAGTCATGCACTGGCCAAAGGCTGATGGCTTCATCCAGTATGGAAACACTGTACTAAGAAAAAGTGTAGTTACGGAAGGTTTCTAATTTGGGACACATATGCATGCATGTGCAGATCTGTATGGTTTCACTTGTGTGAGCATGTAAGCACTGTTGTTCAGTGCATGTATCTTATCAAAACTTGGTATTTCACGAGAATGTATATTTGTATGAATCTACATATTTAAAATACTCGAGCCATTGTGTACCTTTGTATGTATTCATGATCATATGCACTTATTTAAAGTTATGCAAAAGCGGTTATGTTTGCAGTTGTTTTCTTTGGTGTCTTCTTCACAGGGAAAGAAGAGGCTCTAAAATAGATCTTTATTAATTTTTAAAAAGTTTTATTAAAAGTTATTGCTTTTAAAAAATTTGTATAATTTTAAAGGGTACAAGTGCAGTGTTGTTACATAGATATATTGCATAGTGGTGAAGTCTGGCCTTTTACTGTAACCATCACCTGAGTAATGTGTATTGTACCCATTAGGTAATTTCTCATGCCTTACTGCCCTCCCATTCTCCTACATTTCTGAGTCACCAGTGTTTATTATTTCGAACACTATGTCCAGGTGTAAACATTATTTAGCTTTCACTTATAAGGGAGAACATGCAGTATTTGACTTTCTGTTTCTGAGATGTTTCACTTAATGGCCAACAAGCATATGAAAAAATGATCAACTTAATTGATAATTTTTAGTGTAGGTAACTTGCTTCTAGCTCTACTAGTTAAATTTACTTCTTCTTCATGGTGAATTTCACATTTTTATGTTTTCCTTCTGGTGACTTTCCTTTCTGGAATCTAGAGTCAAGACAAGGTAACTAGAAAGAGAAGAAATTGCTGTTTAAAACCCTCTCCTTCTCATGACTCCACATAAAGTCATAGCAGAAAATACCTACATGAATATATAAAGAGTTACTAAGTTCACTCCCTATGTATCTAGATATATGTGATAATGTACAGAAATGAATTCACACAAACTGGCCAACTAGGATATATGTACCAACACAAACAAGCATGACACAGCAGATTTATATGCCAAGGAATATCAAAATACACCAAGAAAGAAAAACAGCAGTATTTGTTTCTTCATGCAGACTTTGTTTGATATGGCTAGATACAGAGATGAGAGAAACGTCTTACAAATAAGCACAAAATAACACATAATTTTCTTTTACATTTTTACTCTTTTACCTTCATATCTAAAGGAAGAAATCAAGGCTTTTCCCCAGTTACTCAGGTGATAATCCTCAATCTCAATTACATCTTTTGAGGATTATCCATGCATAATTTTGTGCTGTTTCAATTTGATAACTTCCCTTAAACTCCCAGGGTGTCTCCTCCTTTTCTTAATTTTGTGGGCATATGTTTAGTAAAGACTATCATGAAAAATCATTGCCTGGGGTGTGGATATAGATATGTACAAATATGTTGTAAATGAATAAAATCTGTAATTATGATAAAGTAACATAAAAATAAATAAATAAAAATATGTTTAAACAGTTAATCATCAATGAAATTACACTGGCCAGAGAATTGAAAGATGAAACTTTTGTACTGTTTTAGATTTTGTCCAATCATAATGGTTAATATTTATTGAAAATTGTATATTTGCCAGACACTGTGTTAGAAAACTACCTAAATTATTAAATATTTACAACATCCCTATGAGGAAGGAAGGTATTATAATTATTTCCTTGCTCATTCTGCAGTTGAGGAAACTGGAGAACAGAGAGGTAAGTAACTTTCTCCTGGTCACACTGCCTTATGTTGCACAGCCAATTGCCTTTTTGTTGACAGTCAACGGTTTATTATTTTGCCACAGCACAGCTGAAAACAAACAGAAACCTGTGGGCTTTATGTCCAAAACTTCCTCTCTTTACTCTAACTTAATCCTTCCAAAAACACCTAAGTGACTTTATAAACTGAAACTTCTTAATGATGCGCTGGCGAATTTGCTTGGTCTTGATGCTGTAGATGATGGGGTTCATAAGGGGTGGTACCAGCAGATACACATAGGACATGAAGAGGTGTACAACGCGGGGCAGATGTTCACCAAAGCGATGCACAAGAGACAAGCCAATCATGGGGATGTAGAAGAGCAGTACAGCACAGATATGAGAGACACAGGTGTTGAGGGCTCGGAGTCGCTCCTGGTGGGAGGCAATGCTGAGCACGGTGCGAAGGATGAGGGCGTATGAGAGAAAGATGAGCAGGGAGTCCACACCCACGGTGCAGGCCACAACAAAGAGCCCATAGATGTGATTGACAATGATGCTAGAGCAGGCCAGCTTCATGATCTCCAGGTGAAGACAATAAGCATGAGCCAGCACATGGGAGTGGCAGTATTGGAAGCGCTTCAGGAGGAATGGCAAGGGGAGGATGAGGAGAGCACTTCTAAGCACTGAGCTTAGCCCCATCTTGACAATACATGCAGGTGTCAGGACGGTGGAGTCATGCAGTGGGTTGCAGACGGCCACGTAGCGGTCAATGGACATGGATAACAGAACTGATGACTCCATTGAAGACAAGGTGTGGATGAAGAAGAGCTGAGTGAAACAGGCAGGGATGCCAATCTCTCTGGTATCAAACCAGAAAATGCCCAGCACAGTGGGCAGTGTGGAAAGGCAAAGGCCTAAGTCTGTGACAGCTAGCATGCCCAAGAAATAGTACATGGGTCCATGGAGAGTGGCATCAGTACAAATGACGTGGAGAATGGTGAGGTTCCCCAAGATAACTGTCAGGTAGATGAAGCAGAAGGGAATAGAGATCCAGCCATGGAGACCTTCTAGACCTTGGAAGCCCGTCAGGAAGAAAGTGGCTCTTTGGAGGCTGCTATTAAGAAGAATTGTCATAGCTTTACAATCTTGGACTCAGAAACCTGGAATATAGAATGAGATTCCTGGAAAGTGACAAGGCTGAATTCTCACTCACCTAAATGTCCCAAGATCAGCCAGTAAGGAAGCATCTGCAGATGGCATAGGGGAGAACTGGGTGGGGGCTGATCTATTAGCCTTTTCTACTGGGTCTAGGAAGGAGACTTTTGATGGATGAGGAGGCAAATAATAGTAGGCTAATCTGAAGCCTGGAACAAAGGAACATCTTGGAAGAATCTTGGACTTCAGAAAACAATTCTAGAAAAGGGGAATTTGGGACTTCGTTCTGAGAGATATGATACGAGATGTATGTCTTTAATAGCAGGGCAGTTAAGCCAGGACTGGATCTAGAGATGGGAAGGAAGAAGAGATTTACACTAGGTTTGAAACACAAGGAGCAAAGGAGAAAAATCTGAAATCACCAGGAAAAGCCTGAAATCTTTGGTTTAGAATGAGGAAACGAAACCAGAAGGCATTCAGAGTGAGTTTTGCCTGTGGGGCTGGGATTGATATGACATCTAGGTATCCAGGTCTGTTCCTGTAATATCTGAACTGAGTTCTCCTTTGTTCTGCCTTCATAAATTTTATTCAATTGCATTGAAAAATGCTCTATTGTGTTATATATATATAAGTGTAGTGTGACTAGTACATTGTCACATGCATTAAAATCCTAAAAGATAACATTTATTAAATGCATTGTGAGCCTGTTAATTTGTAAATGCCTAATGTGCATTACATCATTCAACTCTGACACCAGTTCTATCTTGTAAGTTCTATTCTTAGGAGCATAGTACAGGTGAGAAAATTGTAGCGCAGAGAGGTAAAGTGACCTGGGTAGGTTTACAGAGCAAGTAAGTGTTGGGGATGAAATTTAAACCCTGACATTGTACTGCAAAGTCTATGTTATTGGACATTAAACCGTATTTTCCCACTACTATTGCACAGTACTTTAGCCATTAGAAGAGAACATTAAAAAAATTAAATTTAAAATCCCATGCGTTTCCTATCTTGGAAAAGTCTATGAATAGACATTTCCATTATATGAATACCATTCAATAAGTCAAGATGGATGGCAACAGAAGACACATGTTTTAGAGACCGAGTCCAGTTTGGATATGCTGAATTTAAAGAGAAATTTCTGGGGAGAGGGTCTAGAGGATATTATATGTAGCGATTGTGGTGTGACTGAGGGCTTGAGTTACAGGTATGCACCGTGGGTATGGAGAAAGTCCCTAGGAGATGAATGGTGAAAAGGAAAGATGGGGGGTCAGTTCATAAAACTGATAACTTTTAAATGAGGGCAGGTCATAATGTTAAAACTAGAAAGGGGACAGAGAATGGAGAATCAGAGAAATAGGATGAAAGTAATAGTACATAATGTCAATAAAACCAAGCCACCACTGTTAACTACAAAAAAAAAAAAAATGAAGTAGGACAAGTTTGTTTGTTTGTTTGTTTGTTTTTTAGACATTTTACTTACAATGGCTAAGTCACTGTTAATTTTTCAGAGACTGTTTTAATAGACTGGCAAAGCATTGTAAGGGCTTACCTTATTAGTGGGTGAGGAGGATTAAGTAAAAAGTTTATATTCTGTGCCATTTCCCTCTGAGAGAAAATCTACAGATGGGTGAGAATATTAGGATTTTTTAGAAAAGAAAGATAGGAAGTTGAGAACATTCTTTCAAAAAGCTTCTGTTTCTTTCCTGGCAAAGTAGAAGCACATTGAAGGGCCTCTACTGAAGAAAGAATACAATCCCTGTAGCTTTTGCCACTCACATTTCAAATCCAAATGAATAACAATAAAATAATAACAATTTAATATAAGAATAAAACCATTCTTGTTTTATGATTTCAAATGAGAAGCAAAAAAAAGGGATATAAAGAACGATGGCAAGGAAAGAGGAAGAAATAAAGGAAAGAAGTAGAGACTTGGAGGGGAACTGGGCTGTGAAGGAAAAAGTAGATATCAAAGGATTTGCAGAGTTTGCTGTGAGCAGTTTAGGCAGTGATGCAAGCCCTTATGGGAGAGAGAGCATTCATTAAGTGAGAAAATGGCAACATATTTTAATAAGAAATAGCAATAAAGAAGAGAAAATTTTCCATCAATAAAAGAGAAATTCAAGTAAAAGTTTAAATATATGTATGACTTTTCAGCCAGCAGGCATAGTGAAGCTGGTTTGATTCTATCTTACTCTGAGCCATTTCAGAGTTTGAGAAATACCAGAAACCTTTGGAGGTCATCTATGTTCACATTTATGTCTCCAGACAGAGAAAAGTCATTCTGCCTACCTAGTGAGAGGTTGCAATCATAGTATTCCATCCCATTTATTTTCTCACTTTCAAAATATAGTCCTTGCATATTATATTTTGGATATGGGTAAGAGGCAAGTGTATAAGGTATGAGGAAAAAAAATAAATAAAAGCACATCATGACTCACACCCAAGAAATGGAATTGCTGCATCATCAGAGCTCACAAGCCTAGCACAGATTTGGAACTTAGTAAAGTCTGCTCAATACATGTTGAATAAATGTATGAGTGAATGGATAAAAAGAGATGAAATGCAATAGGGATTACACAGAATAGTTTTTAGTGCAGCTATTGTCCATTTTCTTCTCAATGGCACTTACCTCCAGATTAGTGGATCAGAGAAGTATCATCTGATTTCCTCCACTAGACTGCATGAGACACCACTGTCCTTTCAGCTCTAATTTATTGAAATAAATGAATGTCATCCTAGGGTTTATGACAGACAGAAAAGAGGTGGGCCGGGCAATGATCCTGATGAGACTCTGACTCCCTCTGGCTCCTGTTCCTCATATGGTTGCATACAATGTTGTTAACTATTATCAGCATCTGTCTTTATGACAGTCTCCAAAGTATCTTCGAAGTACAATCATGACCTTATTTTAGTATAGAGCTTAATTGTTACAAAGTGCTGTCAAATCCACTCTGATTGTCATGATACAATTTAAGGTGAGGAAGGTAGAAAAACTAGTGCTTTGAATGAAGAGAAAAGAGATGACAGGCAGCAAGGAATAAACAAAATGATAAACATGACTTTTACAAGATCACACAGAATGACAAAGCTAGGACTAGAACCACAGGTCAATCTCAAGTCCATTTGCCCCTCAAAACTGCCTTGACTGACATGATGAGGGGATTTAGCAAACAGCTAAGACTGAGAGCTCAGTGTGTGGCTCAGGTTCCCTGTGACTAGGGATCTATGTGTTCTGACTGTTTTCTATGTGCTTCTGCTTGCAATGCATGCCTGAGCCGTGACAGTTGGAGAGAAAAGGGCTTGGAGGACATACTTCCATCCAGAGCTCAGGTTTGATGGTAGCTCAGCTACAAGACTATTCCGTTTAGACTCAAGGTCTTTTTGAAGAGCCCAAAAGCTTCTCCTCAGGGGCCTTTCCCAAGTCTGAGAATTCCCTGACGAGTTCTCATGGCTTTTTCTGAGGACAGAGGTCACAAGAGGCTGGGAAACCCCAATACTTGAGTAATGAGATTAAAAAATCAGGTGTTAAGAGGGGAATCTATCATCTATCATGCCTGATCTGTGGGCAAGGGATACTAAATGATACTTTCAAGATGTTAGGATGTTTCTAGTTGTGCATTTCAAGTTGGAAAATTGGTTGAGAAAGACCTAGCCAGGCCTGAAGACCAGTATTGTGGCGTGTGGGGAGAGGGTCGAGGGGGGAGAGAGAGAGAGAATTCAGATTCCAACACTTTCTAGCCATGTGACTATATGACCTAGGACAAATTACTTAATCTTTCTGAGATTATTTTCTTATGCTTTAAAAAAGGAATTTTTCCTCCTTTTTTTTACACAGATCCTAGTACACTATCAGACATCCTTCCTGTTTCAGAGTTTACTGCTAATATAATTTGGTTTGAGTTTAGAGAGAAGGAGAGCTCTCTTCAGCCTTCCATCTAAAAACCACAGGTTTCTTCATTACCATTGGCCATTCTTTGTGTTTTCTCCACAATACACATGTAGTTTGAGTCATAATTCAGAAATTTATACTCTAAATGTCAATTTCATATCTTCAAATGGTTCACCAACCCATTTTAACTACCAACGTCTGTATCAGGTATTCTTCCAAAATCAATGTAAACAATTGGAATAAACATCTGAACAGAATAGCTGAAATGTAATGGGTTTTCAGTAACACAATTATTTAAATAATTAGTAGATTGAGCATAATCTTCAGTTTCCAGGATTGGAATTAATTTATACTTGTCTTGGTTTCCCAACCAGTTTTAGATCTGTCTCAGATTTTTTAATTTTTATTTTTTTTCACGTAAGTCTTAGATAATAGCAGTAAAATGAGCTAGGATGGGTTGCTAGATCTCCTCTTTGTACTTCAAGGTTCTGCTGCAGCTTCATCTAGCCATGTGGGATACATGTGCAGTGCACACACTTCTCGCTTTAACACATTAGTAAATCTGAAAAATGACCAGTGAGATCCCATCTCTCTTTTCTTGACCATTTGCAGTGGAATATTAAAGCTAAAAAGAGAGCAGGCAGGGCCCTCACTGATACAATGAAATGTAATGGAACACAAGGATGCAGATGTAGCTAACTTTTTCCAGGTCCAATTGTTGGTGGGCAATGTATTTGACAATGCTGGCCCTTCTAGATACTTTCTTTAAAAAAATTAAACACTTTGGTTACTTCTGCCGAAGCTCGTTAAGTGAATGAAACTACTAGCTACAAGTAGTCTGGAGTCAAAAAGAAATTATTTGATTAAGTAAACCCAAAAATATGTGCAGCAGAGAAAAACCAATGTGTTTTGTGTTTATTTTTTTAATTATTATTATTATACTTTAAGTTTTAGGGTACATGTGCACAACACATCATTTATGGGAATGGTATGACTTATTCCACTGTTTGAGAACGTTATTTTATAATAAACCCATTAGCTGCAAAGAGCTTGGCAAAAGAAAGTTTGTGCTTCAAACTTACTCTATTTCTGTTTCTCAGAAAAAAAAGATAATGAATTCAAACCTTGTACAAAATGTTTGTCAGCAGGTACTATCACTGTGGTGGCCAAATTGATATAATCAATCACATGACAATCAGAAGAAAAAAATTAGCATCAATGTCAAAAGTTTGGAATTTTCTTCAGAACACTGTATATAAAAGTGCTTATGCACAGCTGCTGAAGGTAGATTCACATGTTATGCTATAAATTCATAATTTTTCAATTAGGTTGAATAACTGTTCATTCAAATTAATTTTACTCCCTTTTTATTGCAGTTTTTCTAGTCATTGTGAAATAGAAGGGATAGCTGTTGTGAGGTTGGCTCCAGTAGCAAAAGCTAGATTATGTTAATTCTGACTCATTATTTAGATGCTTTAGATAGAAAATCAGTTAATTATATAAGTTTAATTATGTTATTCTAATTCATTATGCAAAGTATAGTTTTTGAGCATTTTCTCTGTCAAGTTTTATTCTGTAAAACACTTAACCTTATTGTGAATGCTATTTTTAATTCAGTTAAGAAGTTCAGCATTAAAGATACAGATTTTCATGTAGCAATAGTATGAATGCATATTTTGTTTTTAGAGGACAGCAATATGATAAAAACAATCAATGTTCTTGTAAAATTGAGAAACGTTTTGTTCAAAAATGTACTTGGAATAATCTTGGTGTGAACATAATTTATGACTATATACAGATAATTCTTTCAATTTCTTTGATTTATATATACATTTATAGTAACCAAATTAGGACATTTTGTGGCAAAGATTATATTAATTTTAAAAATAAAAACATCACTATTAAAGTACAGTTTTTTGTTGTTGTTGATCATCTTCAATCAGATTCTAAAGATAATTGAGTCTCTGGAGTACTACTTGGTAAATCAGTCTAATTTGGTGTAATAGACGTAAAGATGTGCTTCTCAGATCCCACTTGAAGAAACCATTTGTTGCCTAGCTATAAAGAGTGTGGGTAGCTGACGAATGCTTCAAGGTATACCTTGGATATCTGGCTGAAGCCACACTCTTCTTGGGATGACCTAATAGTAAAAGAACAAAGTAATAGTGTCAGTGCTTACCCCTTTCTTGCCAATGGGGGAAACTCCTTTTTCGAGCCATCTTTGCTCATGAGCTCCCATTTGGGCTGGCAGAAAATTTACCATCTCCGAATCATGGTCTAATGGCTCCATCTACCCAATCCTCATTCTGCCCCTTCTACTGCACACATATAAAGACTTTGCCTTACTATGTCTTTGCTCAAAACAAAATAGACGTCTTTAATCAAAGTATTGAAAAGTTGGATTACCCCAAAATTTAGATTTAATATTTTTAGCAAATTGAAATTATTTGGTAACTCAAGGCTTGTTTACTATACTTGCACAGGGATCTAGATTGCTTAACTTTTAGAGGAGATTTTTATACTCAAAAATAGTTTTTGATTAAAACTCTTTTACTGGTTAACAAATATACTAAAACCATTTCTCAATTAGTAAATACTATATAAATAATATTTACATACATACTTTTATTTCTTTTTGCAGCGTTGTTCTCAAATGTGTCTAATTGTTAATTTTAAATCATTTTAATTATTAAAGAGTAGTTGAAGTATTTTAAGAGTCTAAGTATAGATACAACTAAAGATAATTTATAAAGCTAAAGCTGAAATTAATACTATTGTATTAATTTCTACTCATAGTAGAAAGATAGATAAATGTATATTTGCAAGAGAGGAAGAGAGAGAGAGACAGAGAATATTGCAAGCTTGAATTTTTTGAGGAAGATAAATGTTCGATATCAGGAATTCCATCAACTAATATGATATTCTATGACTGGATGAGTATGAAGAGCAAAGTGAGACAGGGTTCTGGAAGGGTTATCCATGGGGAGCTATATAAAATCCCTTTACAGATTACCTGGGTGATCCATTGGCATTTAGTTTCTGAATTGGTAAACATCCCACTTAGTATTGTCCTGCCTCATATGCAGGTAGTGCCTCTTTTTTAGAAACACTGTAACCTGTGAATAATAGTTGACTGGAGGGCTAGAGATTTGCTCATGGCTGGAGAGTAAGCAGAAGAAGAGGAACAAAGAGCCAAAAACAAAAGACAAAACACGCAAACATATAATATGCATTCAAGTTAAATGACCTATGTGTTTTATATATAGAGAGATTTATATTATGAATTCATTAATTAAAGTATATTAAAACAATAAATAAATTAATAAGAATTGGACAAGTTGAGGTAGCAAGGGCATGTAACACTTAACATGCTATTCTTTTAAAATAAGAATATAGGTTGAAGGAGAGTAGCTATTAGCAAGGAAATTGAAAAAGTAGCAAAAATACTGAAGGTGCAGCAAGGTCTCAAAAAACAGGAAGATATGAAATTTAGTTTTGGGTCACTTGCATTAAGTTTTGATAGAGAGAAATGGCATTTTTCTTAGAAAGGAGAATGCAATAGGTTGGTAGCATACATATAGGAGGCTTTATGTCTGGTGGCAAATAATAGGAATAATTCTCATTTTACTGCCTTTTAAGGAGGAAGCATGAGGATAGGGAGTATAGTAGGGAGACTAAAGAAGCTAGCACACGTTCGGTTCTTTTCTACTCCTTATCATCTTGCTTCCTTGATCCCTCAGAAAAATGAACGTAGCAGCTCAACAAGAATGCAAAGTAACGATATTTTAAGTCATATTTGATGATCAGCTGAAATAGCACTTACTACAAACAACTCCCGATAGAGTTGTTCCATTTTGAACAACTTCTGGATGGTCTCCATCAGTGCTCAGCAACAGGCAGGCACAGACACACAGGTGGAGGTCTACACTGATTCATAATTCGCAGTTTGTGAAACTGACGATTAAACTAAATAATCATTCTGGTCTGTGTTGTATAAACGGCAGCTCCAAATTATGTATCAATTGCCCCATCAAGAGATGGAACGTATTTCTCTTCCTTTGAATCTGAGCTTGTTCCATTCATGTATAACTAATGGATGCAGTGGAAACGACTCTTTATTTGTTGCAGCTATAGTCCTTAACAAGACTAGAAGGTTCTATCCTGTTTCCTGGTATATGCTCTCTTGTTCTTGAAAACAGTTTTTCTTGGAAACCAGCTAACATGCTGATAGAAGCCTAAGCTACATGGAGAGGCATATGTAGGCGCTTAGCTAAACTCAGCAAGCGTCAGCTACCAGCTTTGGGAATGAACGATATTCAAAGTGTATCCCCTGTCCCAGTGAAGATGCCCAGTTGGTACTATGTGGAGAATAGACAAGACATCCCTGCTGAGCTCTGCACAAATTACACAGCTATGATCAGATATATAATTGTTGTTGTTTTGGATCACTTAGTTTTGGAGTGGTTCGCTCTCCAGCTATTTCTGAACATGGTTCCTGGTCAAGAAACCTAATTCTCTTTGTAGTCGAATGAAGTCCCCAAAGTCACTTTCTCAATTTCTCTGACCTTTTGGCATTACTTACTACTCTTCTCTGTCAAAATACACATCATTTTCACTAGTTCCTCTCAAGATCTTTGTTAAGTATATTTATTCATGGCATTATAAAAATAAAAGTTCATTGCCTTGTTTACAATCTAAGACAAACATTGGCATTGAAGCATGTGTTGGACACAGATAAAACAAACAATGACATGAATGAGTTATGAGAAAACCTTATTTCTCTACGATGTTAAATTGTATGTATGGTTTTCTAGAAGTGTTAGAGAAAGCCGAAAATGCCTCTGTGGAATATCGTAGGAAAATATTTAAAAGTATTGGGAGAATAATAAAATTTGGAGTAATTATTATAAACTGAGGATTAAAGGTGACAATGTGTGTGTATTTGTGTGTGTGGTTTTTGTGACTCTATATATGTTATCTCAATGTTTGCTAAGTGTTCACTCATTTATTTATTCAAAATTATCTGTGTTCATACTATGGGCTACTCGATGTGCTCGCAACCGGTATGAAGTAGTAAAAAGGCGGACAATCACTAGTCTCCTGGGATTCATATTCTAACATCAAATAATTGTTTAAGGTCCTATAAACACAGGTTATATATGCAAAAACAACACCTATGACTCTGGGATTACAAGGCAATTTACACGGTATGTAAAATGATTAAGAAAGACAGAAAGATTGATTTTTTTTTTTAACCATTACCCTGTTATTTTTTTTGTTTTTTTTTTTGTTTGTTTTTGTTTTTTGTTTGTTTTGTTTTTTTTATTTTTATTTTTATTATACTTTAAGTTTTAGGTTACATGTGCACATTGTGCAGGTTAGTTACATATGTATACATGTGCCGTGCTGGTGCGCTGCACCCACTAACTCGTCATCTAGCATTAGGTATATCTCCCAATGCTATTCCTCCCCCCTCCCCCCACCCCACCACAGTCCCCAGAGTGTGATATTCCCCTTCCTGTGTCCATGTGATCTCATTGTTCAATTCCCACCTATAAGTGAGAATATGCAGTGTTTGGTTTTTTATTCTTGCGATAGTTTACTGAGAATGATGATTTCCAATTTCATCCATGTCCCTACAAAGGACGTGAACTCATCATTTTTTATGGCTGCATAGTATTCCATGGTGTATATGTGCCACATTTTCTTAATCCAGTCTATCATTGTTGGACATTTGGCTTGGTTCCAAGTCTTTGCTATTGTGAATAATGCCGCAATAAACATACGTGTGCATGTGTCTTTATAGCAGCATGATTTATAGTCCTTTGGCTATATACCCAGTAATGGGATGGCTGGGTCAAATGGTATTTCTAGTTCTAGATCCCTGAGGAATCGCCACACTGACTTCCACAATGGTTGAACTAGTTTACAGTCCCACCAACAGTGTAAAAGTGTTCCTGTTTCTCCACATCCTCTCCAGCACCTGTTGTTTCCTGACTCTTTAATGATTGCCATTCTAACTGGTGTGAGATGGTATCTCATAGTGGTTTTGATTTGAATTTCTCTGATGGCCAGTGATGATGAGCATTTTTTCATGTGTTTTTTGGCTGCATAAATGTCTTCTTTTGAGAAGTGTCTGTTCATGTCCTTCGCCCACTTTTTGATGGGGGTTGTTTGTTTTTTTCTTGTAAATTTGTTTGAGTTCATTGTAGATTCTGGATATTAGCCCTTTGTCAGATGAGTAGGTTGCAAAAATTTTCTCCCATGTTGTAGGTTGCCTGTTCACTCTGATGGTAGTTTCTTTTGCTGTGCAGAAGCTCTTTATTTTAATTAGATCCCATTTGTCAATTTTGTCTTTTGTTGCCATTGCTTTTGGTGTTTTGGACATGAAGTCCTTGCCCATGCCTATGTCCTGAATGGTAATGCCTAGGTTTTCTTCTAGGGTTTTTATGGTTTTAGGTCTAACGTTTAAATCTTTAATCCATCTTGAATTGATTTTTGTATAAGGTGTATGGAAGGGATCCAGTTTGAGCTTTCTACATATGGCTAGCCAGTTTTCCCAGCACCATTTATTAAATAGGGAATCCTTTCCCCATTGCTTGTTTTTCTCAGGTTTGTCAAAGATCAGATAGTTGTAGGTATGCGGCGTTATTTCTGAGGGCTCCGTTCTGTTCCATTGATCTATATCTCTGTTTTGTTACCAGTACCATGCTGTTTTGGTTACTGTAGCCTTGTAGTATAGTTTGAAGTCAGGTAGTGTGATGCCTCCAGCTTTGTTCTTTTGGCTTAGGATTGACTTGGCAATGTGGGCTCTTTTTTGGTTCCATATGAACTTTAAAGTATTTTTTTCCAATTCTGTGAAAAAAGTCATTGGTAGCTTGATGGGGATGGCATTGAATCTGTAAACTACCTTGGGCAGTATGGCCGTTTTCACGATATTGATTCTTCCTACCCATGAGCATGGAATGTTCTTCCATTTGTTTGTATCCTCTTTTATTTCATTGAGCAGTGGTTTGTAGTTCTCCTTGAAGAGGTCCTTCACATCCCTTGTAAGTTGGATTCCTAGGTATTTTATTCTCTTTGAAGCAATTGCGAATGGGAGTTCACTCATGATTTGGCTCTCTGTTTGTCTGTTGTTGATGTATAAGAATGCTTGTGATTTTTGCACATTGATTTTGTATCCTGAGACTTTGCTGAAGTTGCTTATCAGCTTAAGGAGATTTTGGGCTGAGACAATGGGGTTTTCTAGATATACAATCATGTCATCTGCAAACAGGGACAATTTGACTTCCTCTTTTCCTAATTGAATACCCTTTATTTCCTTCTCCTGCCTAATTGCCCTTGCCAGAACTTCCAACACTATGTTGAATAGGAGTGGTGAGAGAGGGCATCCCTGTCTTGTGCCAGTTTTCAAAGGGAATGCTTCCAGTTTTTGCCCATTCAGTATGATATTGGCTGTGGGTTTGTCATAGATAGCTCTTATCATTTTGAAATACGTCCCATCAATACCTAATTTATTGAGAGTTTTTAGCATGAAGAGTTGTTGAATTTTGTCAAAGGCTTTTTCTGCATCTATTGAGATAATCATGTGATTTTTGTCTTTGGCTCTGTTTATATGCTGGATTACATTTATTGATTTGCGTATATTGAACCAGCCTTGCATCCCAGGGATGAAGCCCACTTGATCATGGTGGATAAGCTTTTTGATGTGCTGCTGGATTCGGTTTGCCAGTATTTTATTGAGGATTTTTGCATCAATGTTCATCAAGGATATTGGTCTAAAATTCTCTTTTTTGGTTGTGTCTCTGCCTGGCTTTGGTATCAGAATGATGCTGGCCTCATAAAATGAGTTAGGGAGGATTCCTTCTTTTTCTATTGATTGGAATAGTTTCAGAAGGAATGGTACCAGTTCCTCCTTGTACCTCTGGTAGAATTCGGCTGTGAATCCATCTGGTCCTGGACTCTTTTTGGTTGGTAAACTATTGATTATTGCCACAATTTCAGCTCCTGTTATTGATCTATTCAGAGATTCAACTTCTTCCTGGTTTAGTCTTGGGAGAGTGTATGTGTCGAGGAATTTATCCATTTCTTCTAGATTTTCTAGTTTATTTGCGTAGAGGTGTTTGTAGTATTCTCTGATGGTAGTTTGTATTTCTGTAGGATTGGTGGTGATATCCCCTTTATCATTTTTTATTGTGTCTATTTAATTCTTGAAAGATTGATATTTAAGAGAAGTTTAAAAGTCTATTTAGGCTGGAAATGGTCAGGGAAGGCTTCATAGTGAAAATGCAGTCTTACTTAGATAAAAGATTGAGGAAAATAGTTAGATCTTCACTGATTATTTTTAAATTATAGAAAAGATAATCTCTAGAGAGTGGGTATAATTAGCTGATTCTAAGAGCTGGGCGTAAAATATAAATGCAGAAAAGGTTTAAAAAGCAATAGCCAGAGCTAAGAATGTACCCATGAGAAGATAAATGTATTTTTTTGTAATATGGGCCACTAAAATAAACAATGGAGATATGGTCATTTGGGGTTCTTTAAAAATATACCCTTTGTAATAATGTAATTGACTAGTATGACTCCAGAATAATATAGCTTTTGCAGTTTGAATTTACATCCATCCAAATATGCAGTTAATATACATATTTTAAAATTTTTAAGTCTGTGCAAGGTGACCTCGAATTAGATCAAACATTGCGTCATCAACAAAACTTGAAGAAATAATTTAACTCTTCTCTTACTAGGCATTTTTTTGCTACGGATATAAAGAAAAGCAGGAGAATACTTTTTTAAAGGTATTTTCTCTTATTATTGTATTGGCATATATTTTAAAAAGCAGGAAGCAGATGCTTCCAGTCTTCCTTGAAGGCTTAGATTATTGGATGTACAATCTTAGAATCAGAGAGCTGAAGTACTTTTCACAAACTCACAGGGGCATAAGGGCACTTAGGGTACTGAATATCAAAAGTCATTCATTCTGTGAACTCCATCTGACTATAAAATACAAGACCACTCTAGTAAAGTATACTTTCTCCCAGTGAAACATTCAACGTCTATTTAGTTGCCACTTATACATTCATTCCCTTTCTCATTCCTTTGATCAACTTACTTTTGGACAAAGTTTCCCCACAACCTTTTCTCGGATTTGGTGGGTCTTCACACAGTACACGATGGGATTCAACAGGGGTGGCACCAGCAGAAAAATATCAGCCATGAGGACGTGGATCATAGGAGACACATCCCTGGCAAACTGGTGGAGCATGGCAGCACTCAGCGTGGGCACATAGAAGATAAGCACAGCACAGATGTGAGAGATGCACGTGTTGAGGGCCTTGAACTGCTGTCTGGGGGTAGCAATTCCCAGTACAGCCCTTAAAATCATAATTTAGGAGAAGGTAATAAACACCAAGTCCAGCATAGTAGAAAGTCCTGCACAGAGTCCGTAGACAACATTGACTGTGTTGTCAGAACACATCAGCTTCATGACATCCTGGTGGAGACAATAGGAGTGGGAGAGCAGGTTTTGATGACAATATCTCAGCCTTTGCAAGAGAAAGGGCAGTGGAAGGATCAAAAGAACATTCTTGGAAGTCAGAAGAACCCCTGTTTTGATGGCTCTGGGACTAGTTAAGATAGTGCTGTATCTCAAAGGACTGTGGATTGCCACATACCAGTCAAATGCCATTACAGACAGTACAGAGGCTTCACTGACTGTAAACAGATGGATAAAAAATTCCTAGGCAAAGCATGGAGCTGCATGAATTTCATGGACATCAAATAGGAATAGTCCCAAAGTGATGGGTAAGGAAGACAGAGACAGCCCTAGGTCAGAGATGGAGAGCATGGAAAGCAAATAATACATAGGTTCATGGAGGCTTTGCTCTGTCTTGATAAAAAAGAGGACGGTAAAATTACCCATCCAAGAAAGAAGGTACACAGATAAGAAAGGAATGGATATCCAGGTGCGACTTTTCTCCAGTCCAGTGATCCCGATAAGGAGGAATCTAAGGACTTCCATTTTTGTGTCATTAAGAGGAGACATGACACATAGGAAGATGCTTTACTAGGTGCTTACCTCAGTGCAGTTGGAAATTTCTTAAGTGAACTTATGGTAGAAGATATTGCTTTCTGTTACATTATAGATACTAAGAGTAGATACTTCTTAATGTCAAACATCTACGTTTCTACTGTCAGTTCAGACTGAAAAAAAAAAAAAGAAAACAAAAAGAAAGCCAAACATAAAAGCAAATGGGAAGAATATGAGTTGCTTCCTCACCCAGGAGTTTGTTGGAACTTGTTAAATTATCAAACAACTTAGGCTTTGCGCACTTAACAATTCAAGACAATCCTTTGACTACATGAAAATACTCATGTCTTAATCTCATAAAACCAGTTATCTTATTTCAATTTTATAAAAACTTCTTGAGCAAGGAAAGCAAAATTTTGAAGGGAACAGCACAGTTTACTCTGGATTAGGAGGGAAATTCATGAATTATCCCAAACCTATATTCATACCAGCATATATGTATAGGATGAACATTTGAAGTAATGGCAGAACTGGAAGTTCATAATTACATGATCTTAGGGTTTAAAAATAAAAAAACCTTTAGAAAATATGTAGTCTTACCCTCCTTCCTGTATAGAAGGTAGTCTAAATCACGCTGAATGAGTAGTCATCAACAAATACATCCTAATTTCTCCCCAGTATTAGCATATTAACTAATACCTAAAGCCATCTACTTCATGGTGGAATACTCAGATTAGTTTTCTTCCTTGAATTGAGTTGATATATGTTTCTTAAATTTGTTAATCTTATTTTCTCTTCAGGCACGTAATCTAGTCCCATTCACACAAAATAGCTTCCTTATTATTTTCCTGATTTATTATTTGATGTCTATCTTCTCCCTTAACTATTATATAAGGGGAGAGAATCATGTTTACACTGTTCACTGTTGCATTTTTAACACCTAGCATAGTAAATGGAAATTAGTTGTAGCTCCAAAATTATTTAATGGAATATCATTTACCAAAGTTAAAGATGGTAATAATTTCCCCCATTCTTCAGGCTACACTTCACTTATTTCATCAAATAAAATGTGTCTGATTTTTACCTCTTGGTTTGTCTTATTTTAGAGTCCTCATTCAGTGCTCCTCAGACGGCAAAATGTATTAGCCCTTCTTAATATCTCAGAACACAGTTCCTCGGCTGTTTTCCTAAAAGAGTGGCTATCTTTTCCAAAGTTGTTATCTGTATAGGTTGTATTTTCCATTATTGTAATCATTTAGGAATTATTAACTCTCTATTTAAACATTCATGCAATTTTCCTCATTTTTAATTACCTGTCAATGTTGGATTCAGACTTTTCTAAGAATATGGACAGTATGGGAAAACCTTGGCTCCAAGGAAAGTATAATTTCTTAGTGCTTATGGGGTCTATTGGCTGCTTTGTTGAGAGACTTTTTCCTTCTTCACAACCTCTCAATGTGCCCAAATTTCTATCCCAGGACCTTGCTTCCTTGGATATCTATAGCCTATTAAGAATAAATATTTGGAACTTAAGAGAAAGGCCAAGCCACAGATAATGACATAAGATATATCACTTATGAATTTACACATCCTCTGAAACTTCTTAAGCCGTATACCTTGCTTTCTTTACTGTACTAGCTACAGCTAAAATAGTCTTATGTCAATAGACTGTGGCCATTTGTGTTCTGGCATTTGTCTCACCATTGTCTTAAAGATTGCATTATTCTTTAGAGGTAGTCACTATTGAGATTTAATTAAAATATATAGGACAAACACCCCCAAATGTAATTATTATATTATATATTATTATATTTAACTTGTAGATAATAATATGCTATTTTGATTAATGATCTATATAGGTTTTCTCACTTAGGTGATTATTTTATCCATTTTATACATAAAACAACACAAAATCTTAGAGAGGTGCAGTGACTTAAGGTAGAATCATGTGATAATACAGATATACATCCTTCTCACACGTATCATACAGACTGGGCATGCCTGGATGGACATTCCTAATACTTCCCCAGACACATACTGCCCACCAAAGTGTACACTCTGTCTCTCCTTGAAAATTCTACAATACGCTTAATCTCCACGACATCTTATTTTTCTTGTTAATTTAACATTTAGTCCATCCTTTCAGAATCCAAACAGAAGATGTAATGCAAATTTTGTCAGACATTTTGAAAAAGTAGGATTTTGTCTTACCATTTTAAATCAGTGTGATACTTTGCTATAAAATCAGTGATAATAAAGTGATCAGAAGTAGGAAAGAATCCTTTAAGCTCCTCTTTTATGCTTGTAGGCACTGTTTTATGAAGCTCTAAGAGCCCCTTGGGATGCCTAACAGCAGGGGCTGTTTGAAAGAATAACACAATACTTGATGGAAAAGCTTCTAAACGTTGACTCAAGGGACACAAATCTAGGGCCAAACTCATAATGCAGACTTTGGCAGAGAAAACTGCATGTGATCAGAAGTTGGGGGTCATATTCAAACCCAGCCCCTGTTCATTAGCTCTTGACCTTGGTTCATTTTCCCCTAGCTATAATTAGCCAGTATATCCAGAGGCAGATCAGCTAGTTGTTTTAGCGTCCCAAGTTCCAAAAGAGATCAGATCATTAATAGTGCATACTAATTTCCCTCCAATTGGAAATTATACTCCCCTGTCTATAGGCTTATTGACCATTTAAATCTCCTCTTTTGAAGTATCTGTTCAAAGCTTTTGTTCTCTTTCTGTTGGATTATATACCTTTTCCACATTTATTTAAATAAAGAATGATTTTTTAATATACATAGGATAAGCCATTTGCTAGCTAAGCATAGCATATTTATTCTTTCACTCTATCACTTGCCTCTTTAGTCCCTTAGTCAATCCTGCTTATCCAATCAATAGAATCAGTCATGATATTTTATGTACATTTACACTACCTTTACTTTGTAGGCAGAAGATTCTCTTTGTAACAAGAATGAACAAACCATGGGCCAGCAACCACATATAGCCAGCCTGTCTTTTCAGTGTAAATCATATCCAATTTACCTACTAGAATGCACTTATAATCTAATTAGATATGTGGAAATTAGAAAGAGACAAATTCATTATGGATTTTCACTTTTCACCAGAAATCTTTGTAAGTCTTCCTACCTCTGTAAATACACAAACACATACGGGTTCTTATACAGTTGGTGATAATGAATTGCTTTAGTACTGTGTTTCTTAAACTTTAATGTGCAAATAAATTATCTGAAGAGTTTGTTAAAATGAATATTTTGATTCAGTAGATTTTGAATGGGATGTAAATCACTATATTTTCAATAAGTTCCAAGGTGATTCTTATGCTGGTCATCCAAGACCATCATGCTTGAGGCATGCTGCTTGACTATCATGCTACATTTTCTATTAGATGGAAGCAAATCTGTCAATAATGTTTAATCTGTTTGGGAGGTTATTCATTTTTATAAAAAGGAAAAAATAGAAATAAGCAAACTGTTTGCTGCAGGTTCTTTTTTTTAAAGTAAAACCTGCTAGGTGCCGTGGCTCACGCTTGTAATCCCAGCACTTTGGGAGGCCGAGGCAGGTGGATCATGAGGTCAGGAGATCGAGACCATCCTGGCTAACATGGTGAAACCCCATCTCTACTAAAAATACAAAAAATTAGCCAGGCGTGGTGGCGCATGCCTGTAGTCCCAGCTACTCAGGAGACTGAGGCAGGAGAATCACTTGAACCCGGGAGGCAGAGGTTGCAGTGAGTCAAGATCGTGCCACTGTGCTCTGCTCCAGCCTGGGCAGCAGAATGAGAGTCCATCTCAAAAAAAAAAAAAAAAAAAAAGGAAGTAAAACCCTACTCAGACTGCTGCCAAGAAGAACATGCCTGATAAAAATTGTCTTTCCTAAATTAAGTTGACTAAGGACTGCTTCTGTTGTGTTAAAATGACAAAGTAGTGAGTCTTACATTAAAAAAAGTTTTAATTTTCTTTTTCAATTATACTACATTTGTTTGTTTGTTTATTATTTATTTATTTATATCCTGGATTCTCTTCAGGAGTTCTTGGATGTCTCTTTATCTTCTATTCTTGTTACTTTCTCTCCTATCTTATTGGGCCAGCTAGACCTGAATCAAAATTACAGGAGAGTGGTAATGTAGGGTATCCTTGTTTGTCTTGAATTTTGAGAGAATGTTTTAATATTTTATCATTGACCTTTAGGCTTACTGCTTTTTATTGAGAAAGGGGTTTAAGTTTTACTTTCTAAAATTAGAGTAGTTATCTTCTATTCCTTGGTTTCTAAAAATCTTTTAAAATAATGATTGGCTATTATATTTTATTGAACTATTTTTGCTTTGGTTGCAATAAGATATTTTCATCTTGCTTTTGTGTTTAAGTGTGTTTTTAAGTTCTGATTATTTTAAGAATGTTAATGATCTCACAAATAACAAAAGGAGAAATTTTTCTGGCTTATCTACATGAAAAACATTCAGATATGGGCAAACCCATGGGTACACACACATAGACCCACACAAATATATTATACCTTTTTAATGTGACATGTATGGGGACTCAAATTCTCAAGCAAGAATAACACATTCAATTAAATGGATTGGGTTGATTGTACACAATTCAATATATTAAAGAATATTTTTTCATGGCATTGAAAATTCATTGGCCCTAGTAAAACTAAGATGCTTAGGTTGTACAGACAAGTAGTTGTCTACTTTAAAAATTACAGTATTGTTCTCATGTAACTCCTATATCATACAGGCATATTCTCTCCACCTAATTCACATATTCTCTGCTTGGACTAAATGATGCTCCCCTTCGTCCCTTATAATTTTGTAGTGTTCCATCCCTTACAATGTTTTCCCACAAACCTCTCACAAATGACCAATGTCCAATAGAAAAACAAAATGAAACACAGCGAAACAATAAGAAGACTTACTAGAATCTTTTTAAAAAGTATTTGAACTTGCCTTTTGGTAAGGTTTACATCCTTTGCATTCATCTTTGTACACTTTCATGTGTGATTAATAAGTCTTTTAACATCTCTCAAGTGAAGTCTTTCAGTTTTCTCAGTTTTTCACTGGTTTCCTTTCTGAGGAACTTCTCTGGTATCAGATTGCCCCTAGGTGCTGTGTAGGTGAGCTCAAGGTAATTTGTTTAACCATGGGGCTTAATCATTTGTTATTTGATAGTTACATTTAGACTAAGGTTTTTTTAATGCTTGGCACCACTGACATTTTGTGCTAGATAATTCTTTTGGGTAAGGGCTATCCTGTACATTAAAGAATGGTTAGTAGCGTCTCCGGCCTCTAATCAGTGGAAGTCAGTGACACACCCACACCCCCAGGTTGCAACAACCGAAGATGTCCCCAGACATTGCCAAATGTCTCTTGGAGGTAACATTGCTGCCAGTTGAGAACCACTGTTTAAGGAGCCCCAGAGTTGAGATTTTAATCCTCCAAAAACTACATTCTTCATTTCAGAAATATGTGAAAATCATTATGCTGACCATAAATCTTCACCTCCCCCATTGAGATTTATGTATCTTTATTTTATTTTTCATTTCATTTTATTAAGACTGTCAAAAACCCCTAAAATACAGATGATCTTTGATACTCTTTTATGTGACATCTATGTACAATATCCTGAAAGAATAAGATGCTATTAAAGCCACCTAATTACTCCTCATCTTTTTAGTGGAAATGAAGTCTTCATATTGGGCTGCCTATCCGCACACTGGGAGAATATGAGCTTCTATTTCTTTCAATTAATAAAATATGTCAACTACTGCTTGGTTGTACTACAACCCCAAACCCATATCTGTATTTGTAAGGTTTTGGAAAAGGTAGATAGATACAGTTATGCACCTCAAACATAGGAACAGTTCTTGCCCTGATCTGATGATAGGATTTTCTACACTAGGATAGGTTTGTGAAAACATACGTAGTCCTGAATTTAAAAACTAAAATGTATTCAAGATAATACTATCCTGGAGCATCAGAGATTAGGTTTGAACCCCAGCTTTTGACTTCCTCTCTGTGTGAATTTCATTAAATCAAACTCTCAGAGCCTCAATCTCTTCAACTAAAATAAATAGGAAAAAACCTTTTATAAAAAGCTGGGTCATTGTTGAGAGCAAATTTTTAAAATGCCTAAAAAGACCTGGAAGCATATCCTGCATAAATTAGAGGTTTACAAACAATGTTTGTATCTATAAAGATTTTCCATTAATTGTGAAGTACGGTCAGTTGTGGGCTGATTATTATTTTTTAAGCATTTGACATTCCTGGAAGGTGTTTCTTGATTCACCTGAGGTTAGAAGTGTAGGAGACTTGAACTGACGTGGTTGATAAAAATGACTTGATTCAATGGGTAGGTAAAATGAAAAGGCTAAAATGATTTTCGCAATATGCAAGATTTTGAGGTCATATTAGGAAGGAAAGTTGGACAATTTTTCAGCCACAAATCCAAGGCAATAAATTTGTCTTTAACATCATATCTTTTTTTTTTCCTGTTTTAAAAATCATTAGCATCAATGATATGCCTATATTTGAAATAGACAATTTAAAAAACTTGTATCCTACCTTGAAGAAATATTACTGAACTCCTCAGTGAACATCTTTTTCAACAAACATGGTCTTATTTTTAAATTCATTCATTAGCAATTATTTATTAAAATCTACTCTGCATCAGAAGTGTCCTAGACATTAGGCAGGAAAAAATAAGAAAATAGATAGGTCTCTTCAATCACTTATAGTACACTTTATTCAAGAAGAAGAAAGAAATGAAATAAGGATAAAATATATCTGTAATTGCAAATATTAAGTATAATAAAGAATAAAGAATAAACCAGCAATGAAAGAGACAAAAGATGAAAGAATAAACCCGCAATGGAAGAGATAAAAGAGAAGATCATAATACAAACTAGGGCTAGGTAATCTATGAGGAAATTAAGCCAAAATTTAAAGAAAAAAATAGAAATGCATTATACAAAATTGGAGTCAAGAGCATTTTAACAAAAGAGATCTGATGTGAAAACTCAAGAAAGCAAAGAGCTCTGTAAATTCAAAAACTGTTCAGTAGGTTGATGTGGCTGGAGATTAATGAGTATCTGACGACGTTGAGTAAGTAGAAAGGGTCCAGGCCATGTAGGGTCTTAGAATATGTTCCTTATTGATTTAACTGTATTTCTAACAAAGGAAGAGTTCAAATTTAAAAGAGACACTTACACATTCAATTTGCCTATAGATTACTCTTGCATTTCATTGTGAATCAATTATAAGGCAGGGAACTTAGCAATATTTTATGAGAGAAATGCTGGTGACTGCAGACTACTGGTGGGGCAAGAGTGAAAGAGGCAGGATTGGACTGAAAAACTATCTATTGGGTACTATGCTCACTACCCGGGTCCCATATAACCATGTAAAAATCCAGCACATGTATCCCAATATGGAATATAAATGATTAAATTAAAAAAATGGTTGTATTCTAAGATGATTAAAATGGATAAAGAGACAGCTAATTTAGGTCTAGCATTAAAAGAACTTGGTATAAGAGATTGAATGTAGATAATGAGAAATCCAACTTCTGTCAGAGCTGTAAAAATTATCATTTTTCTGTCTTGGTTGTAATTTGTTGCTTGTATCGGAGATGCTATCATAAGACATTTATTTTTATTCTGCTTAACTGAAATGGGGACATAAGGCAACGTACTTCCTGTTTATAGTTCTATTCTCATTCGCAGTATCCAGAGTGAATAAAATAACTCTATGACAACAACAAAAATATGTGTTGATAATTCTTGGTGTCAAATATTAGGTTTCTCAAATTTACCTTAAATATCTTACCAGACATTTCCAGGTTTTCTGTCACATATGACTGTTAAATCTTCCGTTGACACAATTTTGCTACAACTCTCACTCTAATCTGTTTAGTTTTTACACAATAAACAATTGGGTTCGTCAGTGGAGGTACAAGTAGGAGAACATTTGCCATGAGAACATTAATGAGGGGAGAGACATGCCGGGCAAAGCGGTGGACAACGGCCAGGTTGATGATGGGCAGGTAGAAGATGATCACTGCACAGATGTGTGAAACACAAGTATTGAGAGCCTTAAGCTGCTCCTTTTTGGATGCAATTCCCAGTACAGTCTTGAGGATCAGGGTGTAAGACACAGCAATGAGAATAAAGTCTACCATAAGGCAGAGTGCTCCAAAAAAGCCATAGATAACATCAATTCTGTTGTCAGAACAGGCCAACTTCATGACATCCTGGTGGAGACAGTAGGAATGGGATAATTGGTTTTTCTTGCAATATCTCAAGTTTCTTAAAGTGAAAGGGAAGGGAAGAACCAGGAGCATGCTCTTAAAGGAGAATACTATCCCTATTTGGGCAACTCTGACAGTTGTCAGGATTGAGGTGTATCTCAGAGGGTTGTGGATGGCTAGGAATCTATCAAATGACATGATCAGGAGGACTGAGGACTCCAGTACTGAGAATCCATGAATGAAGAATTCCTGGGCAAAGCAGGCATTGGATGAAATTTCAGGAGCATTGAACAGGAAGATGCTTAACACAGTGGGCAGAGATGATAAAGACAAACCCAAGTCTGACATAGCCAACATGGAAAGAAAATAGTACATGGGCTCATGCAAGGAGGGCTCTGTCTTGATGATAAAAAGAATGGTGCCATTTCCTAGAATAGCAATAAGATACATGCTGCAGATGGGGATAGAGATCCAGATGTGTGCATATTCTAGCCCTGGCATCCCAACCAAGAAGAAGGTGGTGATTTCAACATATGATGTGTTGATAATGGACATGATTCATTCATAGGGCTCTGCTATGAAAAATACAGATGCTTGTGTTGGTAAAATAGGAATATCTGTAAATTTAGTAGAAAAAAAGCAGTGTTAAAATTTGTGGCTTCTTTCAGCTTTCTTTTGAGAGAACAAAGCATTTATGTGGCTATCATCATGAAGAGAGATGGTTGGTTGCTGCTTTGGACTATAATCTGTCGTATAATACATTGGAAAAATTATTTCTGGACATGTTATTTCTATAGAGAATCCAGATTTAAATTTTGTATTTAGTTACGCATCTGATTTCATTTTTTCCTGTAAAATATTAGTAAACGCTGGTCAATTAACTGGAATCTTCTATTTCTTGCTCTCAGATCTATGTTCTGACCTTCAGTTCTATGTGATTAATTGCCAGTAATAATAGTCAAATGAAAGCTAAATAAATGAGAATACCTGGGTACTTACCAGTAAGTGGATATGTTTGTAAGCACTTTTGATAAAAGCTAAATAATTCTGATATACAAACCCAAGGTATTGTTGAACTTGTCCACCACAAAAGACTCCTCTTATATATAAGGGCTTGTCTTATTCTTTCTACCTAACCACTGGCTCTGGGATTACTGAGTTCTCTGGGGATTGCAGCAAGGCTAGATTTTGTCTGACAATAAGAATAAACATTTGCAGATGCAGTAAATCTACAGAGATGGTTGATACCAAGGAAACAAACATCTAGGTCTGTAATAAGGAACAATTTTGTTGGAGAGGTCTTTAATTGCCTGGTATTAGATAGACATGGTAAATTATCTGCAAAACTAGGATACTTCTGATGGATAGTTGGCTTGTGTATTACTCGTCTGCACAAGGCCAAGTCTAAGCAGAGATGCTGTGAGTTGATTCTGTATTCAAGGAAGTGTTGCAGGACAAACATCCTAGGACATAATGTGTTATCCTAGATTTTATTCCTGAATCCTGGATCCATCTCCCCAGACCCATTAGACATCACTAATTAAATATCCTTAAAACCAACTTGTCCAACTTATACAAGTTTTTCTCCCTTACCAAATCTTCCCTGTTTAAGGGACCTACTTCGGTAATAAGACTTTATGTTTAAGAATCTACAAGCCAAAAATCTGAGCTTCTTTGTCTTACACACAATAATGACCAATATTTCTTAGAAAATTAAATTGTTTTACTTACTGAGTTCCATTACCAGATGATGATTTGGAATCTTGAAATTTTTTAAATAATATTATCAAGTTATATCATTATCTTCATTTTACTGATGAAGAAAATTTTTCTCAAGATGAAGTCTTCTGTTTAAGATCACAGAAGTGTTGTAGGGTAGAGGTAAGATAGCAACTCAGGTCTGTTATATTACTGATAATTAAGTATATAGCACGCTATCAGGTTTGCCAAGCAATATTTAAGGAGTTATGAACTGAATGTACAGCTGGAATTGTGTATTATTTTTAGCATTCTAAACTGACTACTAGTTGATTCTAGTGGATAAGATGAAACATTTGGTCCTACAGTTGCAAATCTTTGCAACAGTGAAAATCATGCTAGTATAGAGATCCTAAGGAAAAGGCTCTTGAGGAGAAAAAAACTATATACTCACCTCTATTAGTAAATAGTCATTGGAAGGATTTCAATATTTACTTGACTAAAGAGTGGAAATATAAGAATGTATTACCATAACCTTCCCATAAATTCTTTTAAACTATGTGATGATTACTTCTTAGTTGCCAATTGCCTACTGTTTGCATCCCCAATGAAAATAAGCCCCACTTGGTTATGTTGTCAAGAATTCTCTCCTTCCACTGTTGCTTTTTCTCTTAGCTTTCTCCAGGTACTTCTTATTAAAGAGATAGCAGAAAGTTTGTGTATGTTTGTGTGTGTGAAAATTGCTTTGACAAGGACATGTGCTCATTGGCTCAATGTTCATGTGTTCATTGGCTCAATGTTCAACTTTGTGGACCAAATCAATTTGTTTCATGACAATTTAAAGTAAGCTACAGTAAGACAGGCAGTGCATTACTATCATGGTGGATGGCATATAGTAGCTTATTAAATACTTGTTGAATGAATAAATGATTGTATTTTTTAAACTGGCATCTTTTTTATCTTTATTATTATTTTTCCCATTGTGCTACGTTTGCTATGAAATAAAAATATGGGTTTTAGCAATTGTAAAAACTATTCTCAAGGATTTTTACATTGTAATCTAGTATTAATTTTCAACTTAATTTACATAATATGTTTTAAAAGTGTTATTTATGTACAAAGAATATTAATATACAGCTATAATTATAATAATAAAATGAGGCATGTATATTAATTATTAATATCTCATTCTAGAGACGTGAAGTATTGTTCTTGTAAAAAACAAAATGTTGCAAATCAGTTGAGGTTTCTCTTGGCCCCATATACTGAAATAATAGTGAAGGGGGGCAAATCATACAGATGAGATACAGCTAAAGCAGTTCCTATACAGAAAATTATAGGTTAAATTTATTTATTAGGAAATAAGAGTTGAAAAATCAAAAAATGTAACTTCTATTTCAAGAAGATAGTGAAGGAATAACAACAAAATCTCCAAAAAAATGAAGAAAATAAACTGGTAAAATCAGAAATGAATAAAATAGAAATATGATATAAAATAATGTCATCAAAGCAGAAATTTCATTCCTTAACAAGTTTTAAAAAATCCATAATTTAACAAAACTGAAAGAATAAAGAGATAAAACACTAAACTTATTTTAATGTATACCATTTGAACTAATGTATGTATACCCATTTCAGGGTATACATACCCATTTCAGGTACCCAGAATATGCCATTTGAACTAATGGCACTTATTCCGGAGTCATGAAAATTTTACATTTCAATCTTTATGGTAAGGCATTAGAATCACCCAGGGAGCTCTCAAAAGTTGTGATATTCAGGTTCACTTGATTTATGACAGTGACACAATTCTATAAGGAATAGATGGTATTTACAATAGATAGAGCAATTTAAATGCAAGTAGAAAGAAAGAAATCTTGAGTTTTATCAAAACATTAATTTGAGTTGGACAATAGGCCTAAGTATTCAAGGTAAAACAAAAAATCTTGTAGAAAAACTATGGTAATATTTTCATGATTTGGGATAACCATGGATACAACCAGGAAAAACAAATTTCATAGACAGAATTAATTAATAGAAAGCATTTCCATGGAAAGACCTCTGGGAATAAATAATATCATCATATGGAATAGTACTCAGCCTTAAAAAAAGGATGAAATTCTGTCATTTGCTACAACATGGATGGAACTGGAGAACATTATGTTAAATAAAATAAGCCAGGCACAGAAAGACAAACACTGCATGTTCTCACTTAGATGTGGAATCTAAAACAATTGAACTCATAGAAACAAAGTAGCATGATGAATACTAGATGATGGGGATGGGGGGAGTCTGGAGATGATAGTCAAAAGGTAAAAAGTTAGAAAGAATAAATTCGATTATTTTATAACAATAGCACAGCATGCTGAATATAGCTAATATTTGAGTCCTCTGTATTTCAATATTTCTAAGAGTAAATTTCTAATGTTCTCATCAAAAAAAAATATTATTATTATATATATCTGACAAATGATATGTAAAGAACTGCAAATGAATAAGTAAAATTCAGTAAAAAATAGGCAATGCACTTGACTTGCACTGTTCAATTTGCATTTGGAAAAATGCAAATTAATATCACAATGAGGTATTATATCATACCCATTAGAATGGCTAACATCAAAAAGAATAACAATCCCAAATTGTGGTGAATATGTGGAGAACTAGAATGCTTACACTTTGCTATTAGATGTGTAAATCAGTGCAAGTTCTTTGGTGACAAAGTTTAGCATTATCTTCTATAGGTACATAAATACCTACCCTATGACTTAAAATATCATTTCTAAAAAAGTTAGTTCCTGTTTCAAGCAAACACATTCTAAGAATGTCTATAGGAACTTTATCATATTAGCCAACATTTGAAAAAGACTCTAATATTCATCAACATGTGAATGGGTAAAATTGAATTAGGTATTCTGATTTAATTGACTATGATGTTAACCTGAATATCACAACTTTTGAGAGCTCCCTGGGTGATTTTAATGCCTTACCATAAAGATTGAAATGTAAAATTTTCATGACTCCAGAATAAGTGCCATTAGTTCAAATGGCATATTTCTGGGTACCTGTCTGTCTTTGATGGCTTGATTTCTCCATGAGTCACAATTACTGCTAGGTACAAAGGTACTTAATCACTGATGCAGAATAATGTATGCTTTTTAAAGTGCTACCAGTGAACTCTCTCCAGGCTGTTACATAAACTGATTTCTTAGATTATCATTTAGTGATCATTTTTTGTAAATAATATTTTTGTTATTATTGTTTCTCACTGAAGTGATTCTGCCATTATTGGCTGTTCTAGTAGATAAATACTGGGTTGTTAGGTTTCTTAAAAAATAATTTTTATGTTGTTTGTTCCTGTCTGATACCATTTCTCCAAACTTTCTGGAAAGAGAATGGCCATTTTAATATATCACAGTCACAGTGATAGGGGTTGTGGCACAGAGATTGGCATATGAACCAATTGCACCAGTCACATTAAGTTTTTATCCTTGGTATACTGATTACTTCTGCTTAGAATATTAAGGAAGCTATTAAACATTTTTCTTTTAAGTGGATCTGAGAGTGACAGTTCTCTCTCCTCTCTTCATTGAGAGAGAAAAAGTGCTCTACTGCCTATTTGTCTGCCCACGATTTAGCAAACTACGTGGGTTAGTTTTGTTCAAAACACGTATAGAAACAAAACAGAGAGCTGAAGCATGTAAGTTAGCGGTGATAACAACTTCTTTGCAGCACTTAAGTGTCCTGTAGCTCACAAGGTTCCTACAACTTTTAATTCAAGTCTGTCTGCTGTTATGATATTTTACCTCAGAATGTTTACGTTTCTTTAAGATAATATTGGGTTTGCTGTTGTTTGCCATGTTCTTCATTTCAGGAACATGTGCAAATCATTATGTTCACCATAAATCATCACCTCCCCCATAGGCATTCATGTATCTGTATTTTATTTTTCATTTTATTTTATTAAGACTGCCCAAAACCCCAAAAATACAGATTATCTTTGAGACTCTTGAATGAGACATCTATGTACAATATCCTGAAAGAATAAGATGCTTATTAAAGCCAACTAATTGCTCCTCATCTTGTTAGTGGAAATGAAGTCTTTATATTGAGCTGCCTATCCTCACCCTGAGAGAATAGGAGCTTCTGTTTCTTTCAATTAATAAAGCATGTCAACTACTGCTTTGTTGTACTACAACCCCAAACCCATATCTGTATTTGTAAGACTTTGGAAAAGGCAGATGGATATAGTTACGCACCTTGAACACAGAAGCAGTTCTTGCCCTGATCTGATAATAGGATTTCCTATACTAGGACAGGTTTGTGAAAACATATGTAGTTCTGAATTTAAAAACTAAAATGTACTCAAGATAATACTATCCTGGAGTATCAGAGATTAGGTTTGAATCCCAGCTTTTGATTTCCTCTCTGTGTGAGTTTCATAAAATCAAACTCTCAGAGCCTCAATCTCTTCAACTAAAATAAATAAGAAAAAACCCTTTATAAAAAGCTGGGTCATTGTGAAAAATAGCTTTTTTAAAATGCCTAAAAATACCTGGAAGCACATCGTGCATGTATTAGAGGTTTGAAAGCAATACTTGTATCTATTAAAATTTTCCATTAATTGGGAGGTACTGTCAGCTGTGGGCTGATTATTTTTTTTAAGCATTTGACATTCCTGGAAGGTGTTTCTTGATTTACCTGAGGATGAAGTGTAGGAGACTTGAACTGGCATGGTTGATGGAAATGACTTGATTCAACGAGTGGGTAAAATGAAAAGGCTAAAGTGGTTTTCACAATATGCAAGATTTTGAGGTCATAGTGGGAAGGAAAGTTGGACTATTTTTCAGCCACAAATCTAAAGCAATAAATTTCTCTTTGTACCATATCTTTTTTCCTGTTTTAAAAATCTTTAGCATCAATGATACGCCTGTATTTGAAATAGACAATTTAAGAAAATTGTATCCTACCATGAATAAATATTACTAAACTCTTCAGAGAGCAAGTTTTTCTACAAACATGGTCTTATTTTTAAAATCATTCATTAGCATTTATTTATTGAACTCTACTCTTCATCAGAAATGTTCTAGACATTAGGTAGGAAAAATTAAAGAAAATAGATAGGTTTCTTCAATCGCTCATAATACACTTTATTCAAGAAGTAGAAAGAAATGAAATAAGCACAAAAGTTATCTATAATTGCAAATATTAAGTATAATAAAGAATAAAGAATAAACAAGTAATAAAAGAGATAAAAGAGAGGGTCATAATACAAGCTTGGGCTAGGTAATTTATGATGAAATTAAGCCAACATTTAAAGAAAAAAGAAAAGGAATGCCTTACACAAAATTGGTGTCAAGCATTTTAACAAAAGAGTTCTGATGTGAAAACTCACAGGAAGAAAAGAGCTCTGTAAATTCAAAAACGATTCAGTAGGTCAATGTGGCTGGAGATTAATGAATATCTGATGATGTTGAACAAGTAGAAAGGGTCCAGCTCATGTAGGGTCTCGGAATATGTTCTTCCTTCGGCTTGGCGTGTTGGCTCACGCCTGTAATACCAGCACTTTGGGAGGCCAAGGCAGGCGGATCACTTGAGGTCAGGAGTTTGAGACCAACCTGGCCAACATGGTGAAACCCTGTCTCTACAAAAAATACAAAAATCAGCCAGGCGTGGTGACATGCGCCTGTAATCCTAGATACTCGGGAGGCTGAGAGGCAAGAGAATCGCTTGAACCTGGGAGGCGGAGGTTGCAGTGAGCAGAGATTGTGCTACTGCACCCCAGCTTGGGCTACAGAGCAAGATTTCGTCTCAAAAAAAATTTCTTTATTGATTTAATTGTATTTCTAAAGAAGTGAGAGTTCAAATTTAAAAGAGGCACTCATATATTCAGTTTGCCTTTTTAATTACTCTTGCCTTGCATAGCGAATCTTTTATAAGGCAGGGAACTTAGCAATATTTTACTGAAGAAATGCTTGGTGACTTCTAGGGTGGGGAAATGATGGGGCGGGGATTGGACTGAAAAACTATCTGTTGGGTACTATGCTCACTACCTGGGTCCAATACCCATGTAAAAATCCAACCCATATCAAATATAAAAGCTGGAATTTAAAAAAGATGGTGACATACTAACATGATTAAAATGGATAGAGAGACAGATATAATATAAAATTTGGGTCTAGCAGTAAAAGAACCTGGTATAGAGAGACTGAATGTAGATAACGAGGAATCCAACTTCTGTCAGAACTGTAAAAATTATCGTTTTTCTGTCTTGGTTGTAATTTGTTGTTTGTATCAGAGGTGCTATCATAAGACATTTATTTTTATTCTGCTTAACTGAAATGGGGACATAAGGCAACGTACTTCCTGGTTACAGTTTTATTCCCATTCTCAGTATCTAGAGTGAATAAAATAAGTCTGTGATAACGATAAAAATATGTGTTGATAATTCTTGGTGTCAAATATTAGGTTTCTCAAATTTACCTTAAATATCTTACCAGACATTTCCAGGTTTTCTGTCACATATGACTGTTAAATCTTCCATTGACACAATTTTGCTACAACTCTCACTCTAATCTGTTTAGTTTTTACACAATAAACAATTGGTTTCATCAGCGGAGGTACAAGTAGGAGAACATTTGCCATGAGAACATTAATGAGGGGAGAGACATGCCCGGCAAAGCGGTGGACAACGGCCAGGTTGATGATGGGCAGGTAGAAGATGATCACTGCACAGATGTGTGAAACACAAGTATTGAGAGCCTTAAGCTCCTCCTTTTTGGATGCAATTCCCGGTACAGTCTTGAGGATCAGGGTGTAAGACACAGCAATGAGAATAAAGTCTACCATAAGGCAGAGTGCTCCAAAAAAGCCATAGATAACATCAATTCTGTTGTCAGAACAGGCCAACTTCATGACATCCTGGTGGAGACAGTAGGAATGGGATAATTGGTTTTTCTTGCAATATCTCAAGCTTCTTAAAGTGAAAGGGAAGGGAAGAACCAGGAGCATGCTCTTAAAGGAGAATACTATCCCTATTTGGGCAACTCTGACAGTTGTCAGGATTGAGGTGTATCTCAGAGGATTGTGGATGGCTAGGAATCTATCAAATGACATGATCAGGAGGACTGAGGACTCCAGTACTGAGAATCCATGAATGAAGAATTCCTGGGCAAAGCAGGCACTAGAAGAAGTTTCAGGGGCATTGAACAGGAAGATGCTTAACACAGTGGGCAGAGATGATAAAGACAAACCCAAGTCTGACATAGCCAACATGGAAAGAAAATAGTACATGGGCCCATGCAAGGAGGGCTCTGTCTTGATGATAAAAAGAATGGTGCCATTTCCTAGAATAGCAATAAGATACATGCTGCAGATGGGGATAGAGATCCAGATGTGTGCATATTCTAGCCCTGGCATCCCAACCAAGAAGAAGGTGGTGATTTCAACATATGATGTGTTGATAATGGACATGATTCATTCATAGGGCTCTGCTATGAAAAATACAGATACACCTGACCTCAGGTGATCCGCTTGCTTGTGTTGGTAAAATAGGCATATCTGTAAATTTAGTAGAAAAAAAGCAGTGTTAAAATTTGTGGCTTCTTTCAGCTTTCTTTTGAGAGAACAAAGCATTTATGTGGCTATCATAATGAAGAGAGATGGGTAATACTTTAGAGTAGAATCTGTCTATTAATGCATTGGGAAAATTATTTCTGGACATGTTATTTCTATAGAGAATCCAGGTTTAAATT
Organism: Homo sapiens; assembly: GCF_000001405.40. Taxonomy (NCBI): domain Eukaryota; kingdom Metazoa; phylum Chordata; class Mammalia; order Primates; family Hominidae; genus Homo; species Homo sapiens. The sequence continues at coordinate 4,955,995 of NC_000011.10, forward strand.
TTGCAGTTAGTTACACGTCTGATTTTATTTTTCCTGTAAAATATGAGTAAATCCTAGTGAATTAACTGGAATGCTATACTAATTCTTTCTTTCAGATGTATGTTGTGATCTTCAGTTCTATGTGATCAGTTGCCAAAAAAGAAGTCAAGTGAAAGCCAAATAAATGAGAATATCTGGGCACTTACCAGAGAGTGGATATTTTGGCGGGCATTTTTGATAAAAGCTAAAGAATCCTGATATACAAACCCAAGGCATTGCTGAATTTATCTGCCACAAAAGACTGCTCTTATTCACTTTTACCTAACCAGTGGCTCTCGGGTCACAGAGTTCTCTGGGGATTGCAGCCAGGGTGGATCTTTTCTGAAAATTGGAATAAACATTTGTAGATACAGTAAATCTACAGAGATAGTTGTTACCAAGGAAACTAAAACAACATCTAGTAACACCTGTAATAAGGGATGATTTGTTTGGAGAGAGGTCCTTAATTGGCAGGTATTAGAGAGACATGGTAAATTCTCTGCAAAAGCTTGGATATTTCTGAATGGATAGTTGGCTTGTGTATTTCTCCTCTGCACAAGGCCAAGTCTAAGCAGAGATGCTATGAGTTGATTCTGCATTCAAGGAAGTGTTGCAGGACAAACATCCTGGGACACAATGTGTTATCCTAGATTTTATTCCTGAATCCTGGATCCATCTCCCCGGACCCATTAGACATCGCTAACTAAATATCCCTTAAAACCAACTTGTCCAACTTAGACAAGTTTTTCTCCCTTACCAAATCTTCCTAGTTTAAGGGACCTACTTCAGTAATAAGCCTTTAAGAATTTGCAAGCCAAATATCTGAGATTCTTTGTCTTACATTTTGTACACAATAATGACCAATATTTCTTAGAAAATTAAATTGTTTTACTTACTGAGTTCCATTACCAGATGATGATTTGGAATCTTGAAATTTTTTAAATAATATAATCAAGTTATATCATTATCTTCATTTTACTGATGAAGAAAATTTTTCTCAAGATCAAGTCGTCTGTTTAAGATCACAGAAGTGTTGTAGGGTAGAGGTAAGATAGCAACTCAGGTCTGTTATTTTACTGATAATTAGGTGTATACCACACTGTCAGGATGGTCAAGCAATATTTAAAGAGTTATGAACTGAATGTAGCTCGTGAGAAGTAAAAGGCAATTTTTAAATTAAGATACACACATTTAAATATAAACAATGCCTGCCTGCTGTTTCATACTGGCATAAAAGCAATTTTTTTGAAGAAAATGTGTTTACATCATTGTAAAAACATAAACATTCCAAAGAGTTAAAGAATATATTTGCAAATAAAAGTAAAGTTAATCTATATCTTCTGCTTTCACACCAATTTGTAGAAAATTGGCATTATTCTACAAAGGGCATCCAGGTCAATTGCTCATCATAATGCCTTATTCTTTTTTCCTCTTTCTTTGTCCTCTTGTAATTGGGCAGCATAGCTTCCAACTTGTTGTAAAACTTTTTTTTATTCCTTTCGTCCTTTCCCCCGATGAGAAAAACTGCAGATGTTTTTCTCTTATCTTGAAATACAGCCTGAAAATGAGGTATAAAACTCCACCTTACACTCCCACACCTTATGCACATTTGTTATTCTGGTTGCCTGTTAAACTCACACTATGCTCATTTATCACACACACTTCTGTTTTTTTTTCTTTTTTTTTTGGAGATAGAGTCTCACTCTGTCACCCAGGTTGGAGTGCAGTGGATCTCGCCTCACTGCAACCTCCATCTCCTAGGTTCAAGCGATTCTCCTGCCTCAACCTCCCAAGTAGCTGGGACTACAGGTGTGAGCCAACACCCAAGCTAATTTTTTTGTATTTTTAGTAGAGATGGGGTTTTGCCATGTTGGCCAGGCAGGTCTCGAACTCCTGACCTCAGGTGATCCGCTTGCTTCAGCCTCCCAGCATATATTTCCTTAGAAGCTTCAGAGGCTTAATTTTGACACAACTAGGCACCTCCAGAATTGTCTTCCCAGCAGAAAATTACTCCAAGGCCAGAATTCACTCCCAACAAGAGTTTAACTGTGAGATTAACTGCAATTAATTTGTAATCTGGTTGGGCCCATGATGGCGCCAGCTCCTTCACTAGATGGAACAATAATTCAAGATAAGACATTGGAGCAAGTCACAGCAGCTGGCACCTCCTATCCCCCCTTCCTCTTCTGCATTTCAATCCCCTCTTCTTAAAGCCCTTGTGCTCTGTCCAGAATTTGGAAAAGTGACAATTTTTCGAAATAATTCCTGCCGTTTTTACCTCTTGCTAGCGCGAACAATAAAGCTCACCCTTTTTCTATCGTATCTCACTCTTTTTATTTTTTGCTTCTTTCTAGAAGTAGTGAGTAGCTGCACCCTTTTGCTGGTTACAATCTCATATGATGCAAGAGTCTTATTTATTTTCTATAGAACAAGTTCAGATTTTTCTATTGTTGATTCTTTCCTAATATTCTTAAAATCTCATAATGCCTTACTCTGCTTCTCTCTTTTCATATCTATCTATCTGTCTATCTATCTATCATGTCTCTATCAACCATCTATCTTCTCTATCATCTATCATTTATATCCATCTATCATCTATCTGTATCTATCTGGTTTGTTAATTTGTATTTTTCTTTCTCCTGTATCTTTTCTCTTTTCTCTAACTTACCATCTATAACAATATATGCCTGCTGTGTTTCTGAGGTGCTATTCCTGTAGTTACGCCTCTTGAGCTTTTGAATTGTTTTCCTTGAATTAAACTACATTTCCTCAGGTTGAATCCCTTGCTTAGTTTGATTTCTGTCTCTAAGTTGCTTATCAGAGGGTTAGTAATAAACATACCCACAACAAAATAAAGTTTTGAAGGAGATGAACAAGAAATAATAGGATAACTAGCAGAGAATACAGAGGAATTTCTAGATCCAATTAACAAATGCAGAAGATAGGCCGGGCGCGGTGGCTCACGCCTGTAATCCCACCACTTTGGGAGGCCGAGGCGGGCAGATCATGAGGTCATGAGATCGAGACCATCCTGGCTAACACGGTGAAACCCAGTCTCTACTAAAAATACAAAAAATTAGCCGGGCGTGGTGGCGGGCGCCTGTAGTCCCAGCTACTCGGGAGGCTGAGGCAGGAGAACGGCGTGAATACGGGAGGCGGAGCTTGCAGTGAGCTGAGATCTCGCCACCGCACTCTAGCCTGGGCGACAGAGAGAAACTCTGTCTCAAAAAAAAAAAAAAAAAAAAAAAAAAATCTTACAAGATTTCACTGAATTTCTATTACATTGCAATTTGGAAGGTACTTACCACAAATATCAAAGGAGGCCATTATATCCACAGTTGTTACAAAATGCCTTTGTGCTGGGTATAGGATGTGTCTTCCTCAAATATGAGTTTGACCATTCTGTCTTCTCTTAATAAAAGTCAGAAAAATCTTCCAAGTCAACTCTCTTGATTGAAACACAATCCCTGCCCTCTCTTCTGCTAGGCTATACACACTTTAGCCTCTAGAATGTCATCACTCCCCCTACTTAAGTCCTCTGTTGCACGGGTCTATTTTCCCCTGAACACACCAGAAAGCATCTTGCTTCCATACCATTGCTTCAGAAGATGATCTGAAGTAAAGTGTGCAGGGAATTCATATTATCTCTTTAAGTGGTATCCAGTTCAATCATTTATTGTGTTGATTTATTTTCTTTTCTTGTCCTCTATTGCCCTCACGTATGTTACAAGACCCTTAGAGGTTTATTTTGCATATAATCAGCCCTAACTTGTTTATTGTTGACTGTTTTCTAAATATACTCATACTCTCACAATACTTTTCTCCATTCCTCTTTTTCTTGAATGTGTTTGTGCCTGTGTGAGTGTGTATGTGTATTCATTTTTCTCCTATATCTTTTTTCTCACCTTTAGACTCACAATCCATAAATCAAAACATATGGCTGCTGTGCTTCTGAGCTGTTACACCTGTGACCACTTCTCTTTGAGTTTTTGAAATTTTTTCACTGAATTTCATTTCAGCCCCGCCCCCCCACCCAGGAGAATGCCTTGCTGAGACTTCTGTCTCCAAGTTGGCTATTAGCAATTTAGTAATAAATATATTCTCAGCAAAATAAAATTTTGAAGCAAATGGACATGGCATAATGGGTTAAATAGTGTTGAACAGAAAGAAAATTCTAGGTGCAATTGGCACATAGGAAGAAAATAAATATCTTAAAAGCAATTGATTGAATGGTGACTACATTCACGTTTTTGGATAGTACTTAACCACTAGTATCAATGGAGCTCAAAAATGCCTGTGTGCTATGTGCCTGATTTTTTTTTTTTCTGTAATGTTAGTTTGATTATTCTGTCTTAAGAAAGGTCATGATGCCCCACTCCACCTCAACTGTCAAACATCTTTATTGACATGCAAAGACCTGCTCTCTGCCCAGTCAGGCTAGACAAACATCCAGCCTCTGTAACATCATTCCCACCCCCCACCCACTTAAGTTTTCTGTTGCTGCTACGTGGGTCTATTATCTGCTAAACACATATACCATAAAACTTCCTTTTTCCATACTATTGCTTCAGAGGGTGATCTGCAATTGGATCTGATCATAATCCTGAAAGAAATAATCCTGATTGCTGAAATCTCAAAATATCAAAATCTCCAAAGTCCAAAACTCCAAAAATTACAGTACCAAAAGGCCAAAATACAGAAAATACATTTCTGAAAAAAATATTTAAAATATATTTATTTACATTTAAAAAGGGGATTTATTTGAGAAATATAAAAAGCATAGCAGAACATTTCATAAGCCACTTTACACAATAAAATATATAATAATGACATACATATTTTTGCAAGCATAAATGCAAAGGCATATATTAACAACAATCACAGGGGTATAATAGTTACTGAGCAAACAAACAGTATACATAAAAAGATAAGTCAAAAAGGGAAATGTATAAATGCATGAAGCTATAGTCAGTAATTGTATGCACTCAGCTTTATAACTGCAATTATCTGAAATACTGTTTTGAGCAACCTAAGCCTTTTGATGAGATCAGTCAAATAGTGTGATGAGTCATCACCACATATAGTCACCTAAAGAGCCGAGATCTCAAGAAATTTTGTCTTCACAACTGCAGATGTACCTAAAGGATATTTCTTCATTTACCAAGGAAGTTTCAGTGTTTCTACATACACGCATATGTTTACACACAAAGTCAATTTTGTGATAATGCATTTTCATGGAGTTAAATTTCCGATGTCCAAGGGAGCAGTAGAAAAGTCTGTCCTAGCTTTCAGTAAAAGACTAATTTGGCTTCTGTATCTGTTCCCTCTGGGCCCCTGGCTGATTCGATGGTGCCCAGCAACATTGAGGGTAGATATTTCCCACCCAGTCCTCTTACACGCACACACTGATCTCCTCTGGAAATACCCTCACGGACACATCCAAAATAATATTTTACCAGGTTTCTAGCTATTCCTTAATCCAGTCAAGTTGACACCTAAAATTAAGTCCACAAGTTCACCCCTTGTCAATTTGGCAACCATAAGCATCTCCTTAAACTATACTTCATTTCCAAATAAAGACAATAACAAAGTAATAGTTTCATCTAACATGATGCAACCGTCCTGCAGACAGGCAAAAATGTACTAATGTACTAATCTATTCTTCAGAATTTGGCTTTCATAATTTCAACACTTGGGATTTTAATTTTTGGGAGATTGCAATTTTTGAGGTTTTAGATTTCAGGGATATGAACATTAAGAATTTTTAACTTTTGGGACTTCAACTTTCTGAATTATGGTATTCGGGATTGTATCTTTTGAGATTCTGACCCAAACTCATCTGAAATGAAGTGTGCAGTAATCAATGAAAAACAGTTTCAAGGATACCTGTCTATAAATAATACTATAAATCATTTGCCTTTAATATGGAAATACATAGAACAGAATTGGCATTTTCAACATTATAAAATTGGAGCAACCCCTGTTTTTTTCTGCTGCTTGGAGTGCTGTGTCTTTTGTTTTTTGTTTTTGTTTGTTTGTTTTTTGTATATTTATTCCTATCCTATCTGCTGGTAAGCACAAATTAATCCTCAAATCCTTGGTCAAGTTCTAGATCAGTAGTGGAAGCAGCGGCAACTCAGTGTGTAGTGTGCTCCTTGATAACATTGCTGTTTTGTCTCCTCCCTCTAAAGTCTCAGAATCACATATAAGCAGATATCATTTTACTTACACTAAAATACACTGAATGAATTAAAAGTCCTAGTCTCAATTTGGAGACCTCTGTATTTCAATTAAGTGATTACATGAAATGTATATAAAACCCACTCTCACAACATTACTTAGAACTTATGAAATTATAGATTTTTAGGAGAGTCATAAGGTTGCTTTCTTATTTATCAATAGAAAAATATATATAAAGCAAATATTTAAACCTGATTAGAAGCGTGCTGGGTTAGGACAGATGATAGAGGCAGAAACTCCTAGTGGTCACTGTTGCTTTCTCACAGATGCCCATTGCAAGCTCAGTGGTTTCACATATCTCTACCCCCAAACAACTTATTTCAACGTGTAAGGCAGTAATTCTATAATTCAGGAAAATGTTACCTAAAAGCCAGATCCAGGTACGGGATTTTAATTTTTTTCTGTGTTGAAATAGTAATTCGGGTTTAGCACTTGGTTGATTTCCGAAAGTTGGCACAACTCTGGACTTCGATCCTGCATTTACATACATTGTTGGACTTTTTGACAAGTTGGGGTACTGGCATGCATTTTAATCACTTGGAGAACAGAGTCAAACAAAAAGCATGTGAACTTCTGGGTTGAGCTGGTGCAAAGGCAAAGTAGCAACTGTGACATTAGTAAGCTAAACAGAAAGTTGATAAATAGTTGAGCCCACATGTCAAAGTACAGGGGAAATAGAAACAGAACACACTTACCAGAGTTTTGCTGCTGTGTAAATGTAAGAATTTATCCTCATCTGCCAAGTCTCATCCTGCCTAACAGATGCTTTCCCATTAGCCAAGAAAGCCCTGGGGATTCCAACTCAGCAGAATGTACTTAAATTCCTATCTACCAATAATAGACAAACAGAGAGCCAAATCATGAGTGAACTCCCATTAACAACTGCTACGAAGAGAATAAAATACTTAGGAATACAACTTACAAGGGATGTGAAGGACCTCTTCAAGGAGAACTACAAACCACTGGTCAAGGAAATAAGAGAGGACACAAACAAATGGAAAAACACTCCATGCTCATGGATAGGAAGAACCAATATCATGAAAATGGCCATACTGCCCAAAGTAATTTATAGATTCAATGCTATCCCCATCAAGCTACCATTGACTTTCTTCACAGAGTTAGAAAAAACTACTTTAAATTTCATATGGAACCAAATAAGAGCCCATATAGCCAAGACAATCCTAAGCAAAAAGAACAAAGCCGGAGGCATCATACTACCTGACTTCAAACTATACTACAAGGCTACAGTAACCAAAACAGCATGGTACTGTACCAAAACGGATATATAGACCGATGGAACAGAACAGAGGCCTCAGAAATAATGCCAAACATCTACAACCTTCTGATCTTTGTCCTTGCTTTTTATGACGTGTTATTTACAGAGGTTCAATAAGAACCTGACTTCTTTTGAAGCATGATACAATTTGAAAGATTGATACACTGTCTTCACAATAGTTGAACTAATTTACACTCTTACCAATGGTGTAAAAGCGTTCCTTTTTCTCCACAACCTCACCAGCATCTGTTGGTTTTTAATTTTTTAATTATAGCAATTCTGACTGGTGTGAGATGGCATCTCATCGTGGTTTTGATTTGCATTTCTCTAATGATCAGTGAGGTTGAGCTTTTTTTCATGTTTGTTGGCTGCTTGTATGTCTTCTTTTGAGAAGTATCTATTCATGTCCTTTGACCACTTTTTAAGGGGGTTGATTTTTTTCTTGTAAATTTGTTTAAGTTCCCATAGACGCTGGATATTAGATTTTTGCCAGATGGTCAGATTGCAAAAAATTTCTCTCATTATGTAGGTTGTCTCTTTACTCTGTTGATAGTTTCTTTTGCTGTGCAGAAGCTCTTTAGTTTAATTAGATCCCATTTGTCAATTTTTGGTTTTGTTGCAATTGCTTTTCGTATCTTTGTCATGAAATCTTTGCCCAAGCCTATGTTCTTAATGGTATTGCCTAGGTTTTCTTCTAAGGTTTTTATAATTTTGAGTTTTACAGGTAAGTCTTTAATCCATCTTGAGTTGATTTTTATATATGGTGTAAGGGGGACTTCCAGTTTCAATTTTCTGCATAATGGCTAGCCAGTTTTCCTAGCACCATTTATTAAATAAGGAATCCTTTCCCCATTGCTTATTTTTGTCAGGTTTGTTGAAGATCAGATGGTTGTAGGTATATGGTCTTATTTCTGGACTGTCTATTCTGTTCCATTGGTTTATGTGTCTGTTCTTGTACCAGTATTATGGAAGACAGTGTGGTGATTCCTCAAAGACCTAGAGGCAAAAATATCGTTCAACCCAGCAATCCCATTACTCGGTATATACCTAAAGGAATATAAATTATTCTATTATAAATATACGTGCACACATATGTTCATTGCAGTACCATTCATAATAGCAAAAACATGGAATAAACCTAAATGCTCACAAATGATAGACTGGATAAAGAAACTGTGGTACATACACACCATGGAATACTATGCAGCTGTAAAATGAATGAGATCATGTCCTTCGCAGCGACAAGGATGGAGCTAGAGACCATTATCATTAGCAAATTACCACAGGAACAGAAAACCAAATACTTTGTGTTCTCATTTATAAGTGGAGGCTGAATTATGGGAACACATGGACACATGCAGGGGAACAACACACACTGGGACCTGTTGGAGAGTTGGGGGTTGAGAGGAGAGAAAGAATTAGGAAGAATAGCTAATGGATGTTGGGCTTAATACTTAGGTGATGGAATGATCTGTGTAGCAAATCAACATGGTACACATTTACCTATGTAACAAACCTGTCCACATGCTGCACATGTACCGCTGAACTGAAAATTAAAGTTGATTATCCAACAAAGGACTTTCCTGGAGTATCACATTGGAGAATGTTTAATCAGATATGACCAGCCACTTTTAAGGAACTATAGTTGACTTTATGGATCCAATGCTGACAAATCTCTCCCAAGTAAGCCAGCCTCTTATCTGGCTTATGTGGTCTAGCCCTTAGAAGTGCTAAGAAAGATCACATCCTAGCAAGCCGAGATCCTTGGGATATTTTGTGGACTTTGAGAAAATAAAATATTACATTAAATTATAGATACCTAAAGGAGCAATTTGATGAAGAGAGTTTCTTGAACTAGGATTTCTAGATTAGGTACAGATATAAAAGTGGCTTTTAAATGTCTGATTTGAGATTCCTTATGAAAATTTTTAAGAAGGTTAAGGAGGCTTAGATGATAAATTAACTTTTTCCTTTCCTTACATAGATAATGAGGCCAAGTTTAATGAAAGTATTGTTTTGTGGTCAATATTAATCTTTCTTTGAGATGATTCTTTTTAATAAAAACTAGAAAGACTACAGGGAAAAGTTGTGTTTTGATGGAAAAGTATGCATTGCTTAGAGCACACCCTTCTGGGTTATCTGATTCCAAACAGATGGGGAATTTGTTCTTTCGTTGCCTTTGAGACATTTTACAACTCCGTAAGTTTTATTGGTTAACAGGAATCAAAGTAATTCATGTATGGAGACACGTAACTAAATTCTGTCTCATAGAGGTTCCATGGACTTTCTTCTACTGTGGAAGCATCCATTCCTATACTTATATGCAAATTCACATCAACATTCCTCCTATGACTATGTCTGTTCTGTGAATTCTCCTTCTAAGTAGTTGTAGCATTTGCCACATTTCCTCACTTAAAAAATAAATTACATGAGAACATCTTTAATGGATTTTTTATACCGTTTAAGCACCATGATTTGCCTTTTTATAAAAATTAAGTGGTTTACATTTTTGTATGGGAGAGAGAAAAAATATGTACAGTACAATGAGTTATGCATTAGTGTTAAAAATTATTCATGACGCTTTTTAAGAAACCTTAAGGAAGACTTTATTCATGGAGACTATGACAATAGCTATGGGGGTGACTACTACAGTGTGCTCTTACAATAGGGAAAAGAGATTAGACTCAACAAATACAGAAGGAAAAGGAGGACTTTATAGCCAAAAACAGAGCAGTGATGGGCAGGAGGAGTTGGTGGGTAGAAAATTGCTAAGAGGAAACATCAGGGGTATGGGTGCAGGTGTACTCTGGCCACACTGCTCTAACAGCTTGCCACTGCCATCCTCACTCCACTATCCACCAGGGTGATCAGGCATCATCGGGGGAATGGTAGAGGATAAGGTGCCTGATTCGATATCTCCAGTGATTAGATATGGAGGGTGAATGGCTCTGGTTAAACTGATTTAGCAAGATTCTTGCTAAATTGAACAATACAGAGATAAACACAGAAATCCTAAAGTTGAGGCTAGCTAAGAAGAGAGTTCAGAGATGGCTGAGTAGAACTTGGTCAAGGTGAGACTCTCTGTCATCAACCCTCTTGTTCAAGGAAATAAGAGAGATTCTTCTTTAGTGTGAACAACGTTAGTTCATTTTCTTAGTCGTCTTTTTTTCATCAAGGAAACGCTGTCTTATCTGTTACGATGTTAGTCCATTTTGTTCATTAAGGACAAGCTATCTTATCTGTTGAGACTTTGTAGTCAAGGATATTTGCTGGATGGTGCAAGCTGTCAGGCCTTTAATGAAGGGAATTCCTGTGAAAGCTTTTTTAAAAGATTGATAGTTGAAACTCTCAGAGGGCAGCTAGTAGGGATTTCTACCTGTTGAGCTCAATGTATCTTTAGATGGTGGAGTGAGGATGGCAGTGGCAATATGACTAAAGGTTTTGTTTGCATTTGCAAGGCCTCTAGTGATAGTGTCAGGTGATTTGGTAAATTTCTGAGTGGTTCACACACCAGCAGGCAAGAAGATATACTTTGAAGTTTATAACAAGTTGTCCAGCTTCAGCTTAAAAGGTTTGGTGAAAGGATAGTTTTATTCTCAGTAATGCCAAGTCAGAAGGGTAGAAGAAAAATTGGAAATATTAATTGGGAGAGTTGTAGTCAGATTTTAGAAGAAAGTAAAAGTGGTACTCAATAAGGGAGTACTGTAATTTCCCAGTGAAACAAAATTACTCTTTATATTCAGCTCTCTTTACAATTCTTAATCACAAAAAAGTCTGGTCTCATTAGATTTGGCTTAATTATTTATGTAAGTGCAGCAAGAATCGCAATTAACTGCAAAGGCCTTATACGTTTTCTTTACCGAAACTTTTCATAAGAATCTCAAATTTGATTTTAAATATTCTTTCAAGGCCAAGAAGCCAAGCCAAGAACTTACCACCAAAGTTCATTTGCAATACCTAGAGATTTGTGTGAATTTATTCTCTTCTTGAGGTCCCCAAGATATTCTGAGGTTCCTGTACCTACCAGAAAGGGAACTTCTTTACTGGGAACGGTGTAAGCCAGGTGTCAGGCTGTTTTTTTCCTAGAAGGCTTTATTAAGCTTTGGCTTCATAAAGTCAACCTTGCTTCCTTATATTTGATTCTAAGTACATCATTCTCAAACATAATATTGTAACCAAAACTTTGATAATAAAATCAGTTTTTTCAATGGTGTCCTGTTACAGATTCTTTTTGAACTTATCTGATAACTATTTTACAAAGATATAAGAATAGTCAATAAAAGTTTCCAAATTTTGAAGGGATCAGGTAGGGAGAAAAGAAAAATGTTTCATATTTGTTTACAGCACATAATCTACTAAATTTCTGTAACTTACATATTGCTTGAGAGAAAAGGGAAAGGGGATTCTTTTATTCAGAAAATAGGACATTGAAAGAATCAGCAGTGTTTCAAAACAAAACCCCTAATTATTCTTTATGAGTTCATTCAGTCCCATGTAATATATTTTGTTTTGCTTGGTTTTATGTTAGCAGTTTCATGAATCCATTCAGTTCTAAAGATCCAATAAGAGTTAGCTTGACAAGATATTTGGTTGCTTCTGTGACACCCAACAAAAATAATACCTGGAATTACTGCTGATAGCATTATATTAGAGCATACCGTAAACAGAAAAATAATTCACAAATTTCTATTAACTTTATATGATTGCTGAAATAATAACATTTTGACAATACAAATATAACCTAGGAAAGGTTAATTATCTTTTTTATTTGACAATGTTTCCATGAAATTTAGCAAGCAAAATAAACCAAATTATTTTTTAACTTTTCTCTACATGGTGAAAGAACAAATCCTTTGAGAGTTTTCAGAGGCCCTCTGGGAAATCTCAAGATCAATTCAAGAACAAGAAGATTTCATTTAGGATTTGATTTTGGAAAGGCAACATTTTCAAAAATAAAAAAAAAGAGTTATTTTAAAAGTGTGAAGACTTGATTCTCTTAAATAATTATTTTCTTAAAATAATCTCTTAAATAGTCTTTATCATAGCATAAATAGCATAAAATGTAGCAAACTATTCTGATAAGACACAGAACTTTGGTTTTCTAGTAGATTACTAAAAAGGTATAGAAAAACACTTTTACAATTTCTTATTAAGAGCAGACAAATAATCCATGAAAGTTTGTCATTTTTGTCTTGCATCTGTATAATTTTGACATTAAAGATAATTAATAAAAATAAATAAATCCACTTACATATTTAGTCAACTTGACCACACATAAAATTCCTCTTTACAAGCAATCTATACCTTTGAAAAATATCCATGTGAGTTTTCATTTCCTCATTCAGGAATACCCAGTCATACTTTAGAATGAAATTACTTTAGAATACAATTACCTTTTTCTTTCCTAAACAACATCATATCTTTCATACTTCATACTTTTTCTTCTTGAAAACACACTGGACTTTCCTTAAATGTTTTTTAAACAGAGTTGTTTTCCTTATTATTTAAGTAGTTTTGTCCACATACATTGATTATAACTTTTAACCATCAGTTTCTTTCTTTACAGAGAAAACTATAACAGAAAATAGACAAATGTGAATTGTCATAAGCCCAGATTCGGTAACAGGATTGCAAATTTATTAATACATAATTTCACAATTTCTAGAGGCATATACTTACTCATAGAACAATTTTTCAATGTGACAAAAACGTTTATTAATGAACTCAAGTATAAGTAACTCATATAAAACATATAACAATAAGATGCCAAAAGAGTGTAAACTTAAACTTATGCTTAGTAATGAATATTGTACTAGTTTATCTTATTAGAAATGACCTAGATACTTAACAAATATCTATTATTAATGAAACTTAGCCTAACATTAAGGTTGCAAGTTACTAAAATATTCTGGAAATTATTTCAAGGTAAACATAACACCAAACAAAGCTAGCCATTATCTCATATCTCAAGTAATTTACCTGTTAACCCTTTTTATATGACAGGCATGTTAGGTAAACATTACAAAAGTAGAAACCTAAAAAGTTAGATACATTTTTGTTTATTTTTGTTTGTTTGTTTTACTGCTGTGCTTGACATACATAAAGTATTTATATTAAACAATTAATTTTAACTGCATCTTTACTCATGCACATGTTCCTAGGTTGAATAATTTTCATAATTTTAAACATCCAGTAGATATACTATTACCTTACTCAACTTTTAAACCCAAGTAAAGTAAAATATGCTTTTTATTATGTTTAATGCTGATAACTCAGAAGATACAAGGGTTTTTATTAAGCAAACGTTATTAAACTAGGCTCACTTGCCAAAGATACGCCTATGTCAAGTAAATTTGAAAATAATTTTGTTTAGTTTTTTCCTAGGAATTTTAGGAATATTTCATTTACAGGCACTCACTAATCTGCATGCCAATTTGAATAAAGCTCCTTTAAGGTATTTTATAAACTAATTTGGTAATACTATTCAGAAGTAGAAAAATATTGCATCTACATAACATGTTTACATGAATGCATAAACACACAGACGAGCCACAGAGATCTTATACGTTTCATTTTAAAATTCTTAGCTATGAGTTAGTAAAGCATAGTAATACAAAAAACTCACTGGTTTATATAAAGTAGTTCTTATCTTTAATACAATTTATATTTCTGTCCAAACAGTATTTTTGACAAAAATGGAATAAATTGAGGTTACTGACTCAATAAGGTCTAAATCTTTTTTTAAACCAGTATTTATGGGGAATTCTTATGATTTTCTTTTGTTCTGATATATAATCTGACAGAAGCTGTGGGCTACCTTTTAGGCAAGTGCCTGAGGAAACATCAAGCAGCAATCTGGCTGTTTCCAAAGCTCCTCTGAGTGGATAAAATATCCAGTCTATTTTCAGTTAACCCTTTCCCCCTCTTTCTGCCTCAGATGATTGCTGTTTGGGGTTCCTGAGCACCTTGAAAGCTCTTGATGTGTACAGGGAGTTCAAGTGAGTATAGAGAGGTGAGCCACTTAAGCTGAGGTTTATTGTGGAGGCTGTGGTGAGGCTATTCTGGGGATGGAGGTGCCAGGTGGGCCAGTCATCAGTCTCCTTAGGGGCAAGTGCTAGTGCACAGCAGTTCCTTCTTGGTATTAAGTAAGGTTGTTTTTAGTGGTGCTGGTGAGACCAAATGGTCTGTCCTTGAACCCTTGGGAGTGCATTTCTGGTGGTGGCTATGGCAGTGGCAGACCCAGGAAAGATTGTCCTCAGGTCATCAGGCATTGTGCACCGGTGCCAGTGGTGGTGATATCAGCAAAGGCCCTAGATGGGCTGATTCTCAGGCCCCGCAGGGGCTTATGGTGCTGGTGCCACCCTGCTTTCAAAATGGTGCCATGATGCAACAGCATGCGGCCTGGGGTGAAGGGAGTGAATAGACCTGGTGGAGCACACAGTCGGCAAATATTCAAGAAGGGAATTTCAATTGACTGAGAAATTCCCATTAGGAAAAGAAGAATCAAATGGAAGTAATAAAACGTTCTCACAAACCATCATGAAAAAAATTCCAGCTCACAAATCAGGAAATAAATTTTAATCAAAATAAGGATCCAGGAAGAACACATACCCCAAAAGTTGAGGAATAATCCCCACTCAAGACAGAGCCAGGAAGAAAGACTTCCAGCCCAGCAGTTACCTGTCAAAGAGAGAAGCCTGAACTTGGGCCTCTAACTCAGTTTCTGCTTACCTGGGATTGTAGCACAGCTTCTTGAGTACACACAAAACCTTAAGAATCAAATCTGTCCTTACTATCATTCAACAGGCTGTCAAAAGTGTGTACACAGGGTCCTAAGTGAAAAGTCTGGGGGTCCAGTGATACATGTGATCCTGAGTCATGGCACCTCAAACATTAAAGAAAAAATTACTTATGATGCTTAAAGAACAGTAAGAAAAACTTTATTAACAGAGAGTAACGTGATATGTATAGGAGCTTGTTGTAGGGAGAGGGATTGGGCTCAACTCTAAATGAACAGTGAAAAGTAAGAATGTATGGAAAAGGAGTAAGGTTGGGGACATAGGTTACTAAGTAGAAAATTATTAAAAGGAAACATCAAGAGTAGGGAAGATTTTGGCTTAGTCTGTTTTGTGTTGCTGTAAAGGAAAATGTCTCAGTCTAGGTACTTTATAGCAAAATGGGTTTATTTGGCTCACAGTTCTGCAGACTGTACAAGAAACATGACACCAATATCTGGTTCTGGCGAGATCCTCAGAAAGCCTCTACTCATTGGTGGAAGGGGAAAGGGAGAAGGTATCACAGGCAAGAGGAAGGAAGCAAGATAAAACGAAAGAGGAAGAAGTAGCCAGGCTCTTTTTTTAACAGCCAGATCTCACAGGAACATAGAGTGAGAACTCACTCAATCCTGCAAGAATGGTACCACGCCCTTCATGAGGGATTCACCCACATGACACAAACAACTCCACACTAGGCCCCATCTCCAACATTGGGGATTAAATTTTAATATGAGATCAGGAGGGGACAAATGTCCAAAGCATGTAATTGACCTAACAGGATTCTTGCTATCAGCAAGCCAGAATTATCACATATCAAGTGGGAATGGTAGAATATGAGGAAATCAATTAAACATCTAGAGTAACCAGATATGGAGGGGAAGGGGCTTTGGTTAAACTGACCTAGCATGACTCTTGCTAAAATCGAACAATATGGAGATAAATATGAAAATCAAGGCCAAGTTGAGAACACAGTTCAGAGGAACCTGGGTAGAGGAGATAGTCTTTGTCATTAGGTAGAATTCCCATTGAAATGTCAAAGACAGGAATCTGTCACCTTAGAAAATGACATTTCATGTTAAGGAAGGAGATATTGAATTAAATAAAATGAGTAAATAAAGCATTGTTTATTTTATTTTTATATTTTTCATGTATGCATGTTAGTTTTTTTGAATAGTTTCATGTTCAAGAGTGTTATTGCCCATCTTAATTTCAATTCCTGAGAACAAGCACATATCTCAAAGATGTCAAAAATATGTGCTGAAAATAAGTACTTTAAATAAAGAGGTAGTCTTTGGTCACCTCTGATCACTGCCCAGTTATCATGTAAGTGTATACCATTAATTTTCAAATTAACATAGACAATATTATTTTAATCATTATGAAAATGACAAGAATACATTGTGTTCATAGGAGTGGTAAGGGAAACTGCATAAGAGTGAAACCTGGGAATACATTTTATTTACATAAGAGTCCCAAGCCTGAATACTGAACCAACAGATTTGCAAGTTTGATTCTTTAATCCTAATGAACAGATTGAGAAATTATATTGTAAAGTGATTAACATAGTATGTTTTCTTATTGATCTATTCTGCTTGTTTTCTTGACTTTGGGTTAAGCATCATGTGGTTAAGCATCCGCTTCAGCTTTGCTTCTGGCACAGTTTTTCTAAGACAAGATTTCTTATCTGCTGGCTCTTCACACAGTATACAATGGGGTTCATCAATGGAGGCACCAGCAGAAAAGCATCAGCTATGAGGATCCTAGTGATTGGGAAACTGTGTTTGGCAAACCGGTAGATGACAGCTAGGGAGATAATGGGCACATAGAAGATGAGCACAGCACAGATGTGGGAAACACATGTATTGAGGACCTTGAGCCTTTTCTTTCATGATGCTATGCTCAACACTGCTTTCAGTATCAACATGTAGGACATGAAAATAAATGTCAAGTCTAGGATGCCTGTGAGAGCCACAAATAAGCCATAGATGATGTTGACCTTGTTGTCAGTGCAGGCCAGTTTCATGACATCTTGATGGAGGCAGTAGGATTGGGACAGGAGGTTCTTCTTACAATATTTTAGATGTTTTAGAGTGAAAGGAAATGGGAGGATCAACAAAACATTTTTGAGAGAAAAAGCAAGCCCAATTTGAATGACTCTGGCACTGGTGAGGATGGAAGTGTATCTCAGGGGGTTGCAGATGGCAATAAAGCGATCAAAGGACATTATAAGAAGTACAGATGACTCCATAGCTGAGAATCCATGGATGAAAAACTCTTGAGCAATACAGGCATCAGGGGAAATTCCTGGAGCATTGAACAGGAAAATCCTTAACATGGTAGGGAGAGAGGAGAGGGATAGTCCCAGGTCAGAGAGAGCCAACATGGAGAGAAAATAGTACATGGGCTCATGCAAAGAAGGCTCTGTTTTTATGAAAAACAGAATGGTACAATTCCCTAGGATAGCAACAGTGTACATGAGACATATGGGGATAGAGATCCAAATATTGGCATGCTCCAAACCTGGGATCCCAACCAAGTAGAAAATAGAGATTTCCATTTCAGAGGTATTGAGAATGGACATCCCAGTATTTGAGGGAAAAGATGAGAAGCTCATAAGAGGTTTTCTGTAGAGGTATAAGTAGATCGGCTCAAATGCCTGGCTCTATCCTATTGAACTCATTGAGGTCTTACAACACCAGGTATATAGACATAATTCTTAGACACAAACCTAAAAGGAGAAATAGATAGGTAGACTCAACTAGAAACAAAAAACCGAGAAAAAATAATGCAAATTGATATCAAAATCTAATCTTAAAATAGATACAGATTATAACAGGTACAAGTCCTATACAAGGACTACTGATCAACTGAGATAATTATACAGGCGAACATTATCCAACTCAAAGACTTGAAACTTTTGCTTTTTAATATAACGTTGCAATATATGTCCTGCTTATAAATTTGTTTAAAATTTCTGTCATAAAAATTCAGCTGAAAAAAAAGGTCTAAAATTTTGTTAAAAATTTGTAAGATTTTTTAAAAGTTCAAAACATTTACATAAAATTCAAAAAAAAATATATGTATATAGTGTCTTCGTTGTAAACATGGATTTTCTTTTCCTTTCCTCGAATCTTTTATATCTCTCAAAAATACGTTGTCATTCTTTATAGAGGATTTTACAAAATTTATTTTTAGATCATTATGATTTTATTGCTATTCTTTACAGAATCATTCATCCTCTATTATTTTCTGTTTTTCTTAGTGATTACTGATTGCTTAGAGGAACAATATAAAATTTTGTTGTCAAAATCTACCATCCCATGCTGTTCTTTCTCTTTTTGTCTGTTTCCTCACTACCATAGATTTCGGAGTGCCTTTGCATCATCTTCTTAACTCTGTATACACCTTTGTAAAGAAATCCTAGGAAGGATTTTTATGTGGTACATGTACGCCACAGAATATTATACAGCCATAAAAGGAACGACATCATGTCCTTTGCAGGGACATGGATGGGGCTGGAAGCCATTATCCTCAGCAAACTGACACAGGAACAGAAAACCAAACACCGCATGTTCTCACTTATAAGTGGGAGCTGAACAAAGAGAACACATGGACACAGGGAGAGGAACAACACACACTGGGGCCTGTCAGGGGTTGAGGTGGGGGGAGGGAGAGTATTAGGAGAAATAGCTAATGCATGCTGGGCTTAATACCTAGGTGATGGGTTGATAGGTGCAGCAAACCACCCTGGCACAAGTTTACCTATGTGACAAACCTGCATGTCCTGCACATGTACCCCAGAACTTAAAATGAAATAACATTTTTTAAAAATGCCTAGGACGTTCTGGATTTAATAAGAAATTACATGCAAACAAACAAACAAAACACAAGAAAAAAATCAGGCAAGTGTTAAGATAATATTTACCTAGAGTTTGGAAGATCCTCACGCAAAATCAGAGGAGGGCAATGTATAAATTTTTATTACTGTGGCTAATACCAGTATGATGGCTGTCTGCTTTAAACACTAATCCAGGTGTGTCAAGTGGTCCAACTACCAACTGAAGGCTTTTTGTGCCTGTTAGGCCTAGTGTCCTCCAACTCCCAAGTCTTGCTTCTGATATTAATCTGAAAAGAGTGAGATTAAGTCTTCAGTGGAAAACTGAAGATTTATTCTATCAGGGCTTGTAAGATTGTTATTTGCTTATTTATTCCATATGGCTGAATAGAGTTATTGGAAGTTCTTTCCTGCCAGGACGGAGGTTCAAAGTGTATTTAATGTTAAAATTGTTAAGGTAAGTGAATCGTTTGAGAAGAATGTGCACCTTTCGCTGCTTGAGATCATTCTGCATGGCTTTTGTATGAAACACAGCCAGTTCAGGCTTCACTGCCTCAACCTTCTCTGTCACTGACTTCATCTCCCCTCCATGCTGTTCCTCCTGTGGATGTATGGAGATACGGTTCCTCTTTTGATTTCCTCCCAAATGTTCTCTAGCGAACATTCTCCCAAAACTTTGTGTTGCCAAGATGTTGGTATTGTTTTTGACATACAGTAACTGCTTTAATAGCTCTGCATCATTTAATCAACGTACACTTTTTAAAATCTGAGTTTTAAATCCCTCCATATTCAACCCAGCTAATAACTTTGAGCTTATACCAGCCCTCTTAATAGGATTAAAAAGTACTTCGTAATCAGTGAGGAAAAGTAGGGTATAAAAATCTCTTTCTTTAGAAAATGCTATGGCTTTCTGGAAGATTATTTTATTTTGCTTTAAAAGATGTTACTTTTAGAGACTCTAGAGGAACTAGAACATTGCACAGATAGGATTGTCCAGTATTCTGTCTTTGGCTCAGAAATGCCTACTCAACTAAATTGTCTAGTTTATAAAAATGCAAAAAAGTTGAAGTAACAGATACAGAATGTCTTTTTAAAATGAAGTTAAAATAAAGTTCAGTATTTATATGAAAGTTGTTAAATAAGGTTATCATGTTCTTTATATTAATAGGATAATGATGTTTGTATAATAATGTTGTCAGGATGGTGTTATGCAGATTGTCAAACCTTGAGTATATGTTGACATGGAAGCAAGTATTAAATGGTAAAATCATAACAGCTTATTAAGGATAAAATACCCATCTTAATGCTCTTGATTAATGAGACTTGCAATTAGAACATCAGGATTTTCAGGTACTTACCAAGATCATGCTTAGTCCATACTTCAAGGTAAGAAGGAGCTGAACCCAGGATAAAGCCACTCAAATCCCGGCTATTAGGCCCATGTATTGATCTTGATGGTCTGACTCTAGCCCTTCTACCTTGGTGCCTTTTTAGTGGAACAAAGGCCTCTGAGGATGACACCTCAGGAAGCAAGACCCAGAGGGATTAAAAAGCCCACAGGTCTTTTCTTTACACAGATGAGACCTTAAATAAGAGTGGACTCAAACAGAATCAGCTGAATTGCTATACTGCATGTAAATTAGCCATTGAAGGTTAACATCCTATGAGACCTATTCTTCTTTATTCAACAGAATTGATTGCTCTTTCGCCTGCAGTTATAGGTTCTTCTGGAGAAGTGTTCACAATTTATTTTCCTAAGTCATTATGTTTGTGCCACTGTGAGTTTTCAGATTCACTTTTGCTACTTGCTTATACATGCAATTTTTATCTTATAAAATGAAAGTCGTTATTCTGCTCATGTTTAAGAGCACCTGAATTTATTTTTAGAGGCCAGTCTATATACCCTTTGTTCATTTTTTAAATTTTATCTATTAGTCTGAGTACTTCCTATATTAAATAAATGTATTTTTACTGTTACTTAAAGATTTCTTGCTCTTGTGTTACTCATATTTGTCTTTGATAATGATGTTGTTGCACGTTGAAATCCCTTTGAAATAAACATTGAGCTAAACATTTGTGTGCAGAAGTTTATTGGGAGTGTTTCTATGTTAAACAGCTATGAGGGAAAAAAGGAAATGGAACTAGTGGAAAGAGAAATTAAATTCCATTCAATTGTTAGAAAAGCTATATTTAATCTTGAAGAGATCTCTAGGGCTAAAATGATCCCACTTCAGAATTGTCCTGAATTGGAGGAAAGGTCTGGGCCTTTTTAACAACCTATTGACGGGCCATTGGATGTAGTCTTTAAATGGGAGGGGTCATGACTTTGGATAAAGTGGTTCCATTCAGAAGAAAGAAATTCTCAAGAAGGACTCAAATGTGACCTGTCAGCTATAACACTCTCACTAGAGGAATGAGTGCTTCAGTTCTGGCAGAATAAGAACATCCAGGAGATTCACTGAGCATCAGCTGCAGTTCAACCGTTGCACACTTTCACCAAAAAACTTCAGTAATAAATTCTGGAAGCAGCTTTTTCAGAATTCATATAGGCCTTTTTTGTCCATTCAGAAGCGACAGGTGAACTGTTAGTGGGATGACTCAAAGTCCCCTACACTGCAGCTGTCTTGAGGCTCCAACTGTTATATACTATCCCTCTCCTCTACTATCTAGCTTAGATTCCTGTACCCTTAGCTAGAACTTCATCCTTGGCCACCATAAACTTCTCAAACTGTGGCTTTTGTATTTGTGCATTGATATGGTAGGCTTTGTGTCCCCACCCAAATCTCATCTTAAATTGAGGTGTCCAGGTGTCCAGGTGTCCAGGGAAAGACCTGGTGGGAGGTGACTGGATCATGGGGATGGTTCCCCCATGTTGTTTTTATGATAGTGAGTGAGTTCTCATGAGATCTCATGGTTTTATAAGGAGCTCTTCCGCCTTCACTTTCTTCACTTACTCTTGCCTGCCACCATGTAGGATGTGCCTTTGCTTCTTTGTTGCCTTCTGCCATTATTGTAAGTTTCCCAAGGCCTCCCCAGCCATGCAGAATAGTGAGTCAATTAAACCTCTTTCGTTTATAAATTAATCAGTCCCAGGTATCTCTTTACAGTAGTGCAAAAATGGACAAAGACATCCATTTAGCATCAAAACAGGGCAAGAAGTGTCAAGGGATGCCCAGGGATCACCTAACAGTAAGCATATTCTTACTTGGCCACATCAAGTGTCAGCACTTCTAACTCATTCTGATTATTAAAGTAATTATTTTCTTTGCTTACTGGTATCTTAGAATGACATGATGCCATCTCTAATAGTTTAATAAAATTATGTCTTTTGGTACAATATTTTTACCTCTAGAATCAGGATCTCTAAACCAACAGTGCCCAGCACAGTGGGAATAAAACACAGGTTCTCAGAGTGGGTAAATGGAAGCGATGTTTAGTAATGACAACACTGTTTTTTCCTTCATAATAAAAATGTTTTCCTCATATTAAAAAAATTAACACAATGGATATTGATTTAGTTTGCATACTGTGTCCTGGAAGATATGGCCACATTGTCTCACGTATCATCACTTAACTGACACTTCAGATTAGTGTAATTTCATTACTTTGTCAGACTAGCAGCAGTTTCAGAAAGAACAAAAGGATTACGTTGTTAGGGTCCTACCTTCTCCTATTTTCCCAACGCCAGGTCATAAATTAGGAATAATTTGCAGCATAAACAGATGGTGAGGTGTTGGGTCTGATAAGAGAAGAAAAGGACTATACCCTAAAGAAGTTACGAGAATAAGATAGAATCTACCAGCAAGATATGACAAAGTAAGCATGATACATTGAGCTTGCTTAGTCCAAGAGGTTAGAAAATGAAATTATATAGGAAAGAGTATATGACTTGTGAGTCCTGTCACAAAATATAGAATTTAATATCCAGCTAAAACCTTCAGACATGAAACAAACATTTTGTGGAAATTGCTCCCAGAAGCATGTAGAAAGGGGCATCCATAGGAGCAAAATAATGGGCAGCAACAACAGTGATACTTGGCTTGCATCCACACAGGAAATCAAAGATGGATAACCATGAAGCTGAGAGCAGTTGCTTCACAGAGAATTTGCGAGCCCTTGCCAAGATTCCAGATCTGAATTCGTTCAGACTGCAAACCAATGATTGAATAAATCCCCAGGTTGGTTATTTTAACACCATTATACACATTATACTGATTTCCCTGGTCCTCCAAAGGGATTGACAGTCACTTGTTTGAGTAACTACACTGGTGAAAAATGAACATCGTGTCATTTTTAGGACTGTTGGATGCAGGATCTGAATTGGCACTGATACCTCTAATGTATAATTGAGACTGATGTATTTGGTAGTGGCTCAATCCTTAGTTTAATGAGTCAGAGCTTTTATAGTGAGAAAGACCAAACAGAGTTCTATGAAATTGCCTCCAAATGTCTGGGGCTAATAAGTTAATTCCAAAACAAATACCATACCCCAGGGTGGCTGATGAAACTTAGCATCACAGTCCCTAACTTATCTCCTTTTAATGCACTTGTGTGGTCTCTGCAGACTCCAGCTATACCTTGGAAAATGACTGTAGACTGCTGGAAGTTCAACCAACTAGTAGTTACAACCACTGGACAGATTTCTTAGATTCATTAGCCTTAGGTACATGACAGGCATTCATTTGATAAATACTTTTATTCTATCCCACGCAGAAAACAATAATTTAAAAAATCAGAAATAATTCATGTTTATATGGAACAGAGAGCAATTCACATTTACAGTTTTGCCCCGGTGTTATGTTAATTCTCATACCCTCTGTCATGATATAGACTTAATGTATTAAGAGTTCAATATTTGTGAAAGGGAAGGGGAAAAAGCAGAATTTCACAGAAAGAAAAGTAAAAGTATAATACAGGACTGATAAAACTTTGGCCAATCCAGGCTAAAGCTGTGGACTGAGTATTGCCCAGTAGAATAATCCCCAGAGAGGATTATTCCAGCTCCATTACCTGGCTTTTTTGCATGTTTTATGACAGTTTTTCTTTTTCCTGAGTATCAGGGTCAGTTACCCTTGAAAATATGAGTAGTCCTCTTCCGGCCATTTGGTTTCTGAGTATAAAGACACCAAAGTTTCCAGATGATAGCTGTAGTTTATTTATGGAAAAAGTGTACCTCCTTTCGAAACCAGTGAATTTAACATGACAAGAGTCCACAGTTGTGAGGGCAGAAGACACCACATCTTCCATGACCCATGTATGTTTTCTTTTGGGGTAACATTACATGAAGGTCTTTTATACAATGTATATATTGAACACTTGACTGCAAGCAAAGAACAAAATATAGGGATGGAAAACAAAATAAAACATAAAATATGAAAAAATTTAAATTTAAGGAGATTACTAAGACAAGATAATGCAAAAGGAAAAGTAAACTAATGAAAAACCCAACGAAATAGTGAAAGCTGTGCAAATAAAATGGATATGCAAAAATTCTGTGCTATTTATATTCCCATAGTCATAGAATTATACATGTTATTTCTTGAAAATATGAAGAAATTATTTGAAGAAAAATATGAAAGATTACTTTGTGGTGACAAAATAATATAAACAATTTTTAAGTAAAAATATAGTTCATTGAAGGAAGTATTTGTGGACATTAATATCCTCATTTTCCTAAGTGAAGGGTGAAGAAATATTATTTGTATCTGTTTTAATGAGAAGTACAATGATAATATTGTTTAGAAGCTTAGCATACACAATGAAGAAAATAAAATCATAACATAAACATATTAAGAAGGACAGGACTTAAGGGGCTTTCAGTTAAGGTGAATTCTTATTTATATGACAATAGATATTATCTAAAACTGCAAATCAATAAATAACAATATAAACATATTAGTTAAGTAGCTGAATGTTATTACTGGAAAAACTTATAAAAGAAGAAATTTAAACAACTCAAAATTGCTTCCTTTAGAGAGTGTACTGAAGATGGCAAAGGAGAGTCAAGGAACTGTTGTTTCTTTTCTCACATTTTTGTACTGTTTGATTTTTAAAAATATAAGCATGTATAATTTTTATAAAACATATAGGTGTGTTTGTGTGCATACCTGTGTGTATGTCATACAACGCTTAATGATAGAGATACTCATTCTGAGAAATGCATTGTCATGAGAACATCGTAGAGTGTATTTACACAAACCGAGATGGCATAGCTAAAGTATATGCTATAGCCTATTGTTCCTAGGTTACAAACCCATGCAGCATGCTATTGTACTAAATACTATAGACAATTGTAACACAATAGTAAATATCTGTATATCCAAACATAAATAATGTATGGTAAAAACACAACATAAAAGATTAAAAATGCTACACTTTGGTAGGGCACTTACTATAAAAGGAGCATGTGGGCCTAGAGGTTGCTCTGGGTGAGTCAGGGAGTGATTGGTGAGTGAATGTACACTACTGTACACTTAGGCTACCCTAAATTTAGCTTAAAACTTTCTTATTTAATAATAAATTAACCTATCTTCTTATAACTTTTTTATTTACAAACTTCAATTTTTTAAACTTTTGAATCTTTTGTAACAGCACTTAGCTTAAACACAACCACATTGTATAACTGTAAAAAATTTTTTCTTTATATCCTTATTCTATAAGCTTTTTATACTTTTAAGTTTTTTTCTTTTTTTTCTTTTTTAAACTTTTTGTTAGAAACTAATACATAAACACTACATTGCCTAGGCCTACACAGGCTCAGGATCATCAATATCATTGTCTTACACCTCCATATCTTGTCCCACTGGAAGGTCTTCAGGGTGCATGGAGTTGTCATCTCCTATAACAACAATTCCTTCTTCTGAAATACCTCCTGACTGACCTGCCTGAAGTTGTTTTGCAGTTAACTTTACATATATATGTATGTATGTATATATATATATACACACAATATACATACATACATATATACAATATACATACACATATAAACATATACATATATATTGAGTACACTCTGAATGATAAAATTTTAGTGTAGTAAATACATACACCAATAACAGTTGTTTATTATCTTTATCAGGAATTATATACTGTATATAATTGTATGTGCTATACTTCTGTAGGATTGGTGGTGAAGTCAGTTTCTTTATATCAGCATTATCAGAAATGCAATGTGTTATGACGTTACGACAGCTACAATGTCACTACATGATAGGAATTTCCAGCTTCATTACAATCTTATGGGAGCACCATGCTAATGTGGTCCATTATTGAATAACACTGTTATGTGGCACATGACTATACATGTTTACGTCTGCCTGTATGAAAGTTAAAAATTGCAGGCTCTGGCAATTGTAAAGTCTCTAAATTTCGACAAATTACTCAACTCCCTGAGTCTTAATTCCCTAATTTGTAAAATAAAAGTTGTTCATGTAATTAAATGACATAATTCATACAAATAGCACTTAACAATCAGTAAAAGTTGGTTACTCTTATAATTACTATTTTGATAAGTAGTATACTTATCTGAATAAACACCAGTATAAATACATATTTACAAGAGGTAAAGGGTATAAAATATTTACATGACTTTTAAATCCCTACGGGATCCATTTCTTACTTCACTCTCTGTTCTTATCTGTATGAAAGAGGTTTGCTCAGGCAAAACCTATACTCTAATCAAAAGAAATGACCTGAGGTTCTAGGCTTTTTCCCAGCGTTCCTACAACATTGTTGAAATGTGTAAGGTCCAGGTTACATCACCTCCTCTATTTACCTCCTCATAGAAATCCATGTGGGTTAAGATCTCACTCCAATTAGCCACTAGCAAAGCTTGTATAGGTTTTTATTCTGAGGCTTATTACTGTCTCACAATTCTATGTTTATTTAATAGACCATTCTATGAGACGGTAAACTAACTTAAAGCAGGCTTTGTGTCTTAATAGCCTTTGCACACCAGTAATATGCCATTCTCTCAGTTGAATAAATAAATTGCAAATGCAAAATAGTTTCAGGAGAGAAAATATACACTTTCTATGATGATCACTAAATGACTGTGTGGTTCTGTGCTGTACTGGGGCATCGATGGCTCCTTGCAGCCTGCCCAGCCCCATGGTTCTTATCTCATTACCCTCTATGCTCTCTATTGGTAATCCTTCTCTTAGCATTAGCTCAAACTATGGTATTGCGGTGAAAGCATTTGTTCTCTGTCAAAATGAATTAGATATTGAATCTTCTCCAGAAGAGCTGCCAGTGTCATGACAATGGCATCAATTTTCCAATGCCCCACAAACTCTCCCTGCACCCACTCTTTACCTGAGTAACAGAAAAAGTGGCCGTGCAGTCTGATATCTTCAAAATTACGTTTTCTCATTTCTTCCAGAAGGAGATGGGAAACAATTCAAAATCTGCTAGGAGAGGTCCTAGGCACAGGCCAGATGTTTATACCCAGCAGATCAAATACTATAGCCATAATGAGAAAGATGAAAGCATAGATGGGGGTGAGAGGAGAGATAGGGGCCTGTTTCCATAGTTCTGATTTTAAAAATAATATATAAAATCTGGTATCCATTATTAAAACTTTCTGGTTAAATTCACAGGTCTTTTGTTCCTTACATTGCCAATATCTTCTGCCTCATAACTACTTAAAAAGTTTGATTTTGGATCAGCAGCATTGGCATCACCTAGGATCTTGTTAGAAATTTAGAATATTAGGCTTATTCAAGACCTGTTGAATTAGAATCTGCATTTTTATTAATATCCACAGGCGATTCTATGCATATTACATTTTGAGAAACACTGTTGTGCTTTCAACACATTACTTCCCTTATCAGCAGCTGAATCGTTAATAAGTCACTCATTTGCTTTCTTAGTTAAGCTGGCTCTCAGCAGTCAGCACTCATGTATTTGAGTGCTGGGTCAGGCTTACAGATGGCTGCTCATCTGTGCCGGCCCTATCGGATTGCATGGGGCATACTGGGAGTTCCAGGAGCAGCATTAGAGAGGTGCGTGTCAAGATGAAAGACGGGGCAGTCTCATCAAAAGTGGCAATCCAGGCCAGTGATCAAAGATTCTGCCTTCAGAATAAAATACTCTTTATTTATAACTTCTATACATAACTTTGAGCATTGTGACCCCCCAAAATGACAATTAAATGACCTCAAAGCCTCATTTCCTTAACTATAAGATGAATACTATAAAACACCTACTTCACAGGTAGTTGTGTTGATGAAGAAAGTGCATTCTTGGCACAGCGTATGCGCTCAATAAGTTGTTATAATGATCACTTGTCCTGTGTTGAGCGATCTGAATTATATGCTCGTATGTATCAATAGTTTGTTAAGTATTCACTCACTTCTGATTTCATTACCAGCTATGAGATTTTTTTTACTGAACACTTTTATTAATTTAATGAATAATGGGTTCCTTCCAAGTTCCAAAGTCTGTGCTACAGATATTAATGCAACTTGACGTCGCTGTCATTAATGAGCCTACAGTGTCATTTATGGGCCTGGAAAATATGAGGGCTTCTTTATATTTCATTTTTTTCAATTTGTTAGTAAATTTGTCAATTGACAAATATAAATTGTGTATAGTTATTGTGTACAACAGAATATTTTGAAATTTCAGGAGGGTTTCATTTATTAACATTTCTGCAACAGAATTTCAAGAATACATCAGAGTGATTGAGGAACCATGCTCTATGGGGGTTCTCTGGTCACCTTCTTTCAATGGGATAGAGAGATTTAACCTGATTTTTAACCATCCTAGAGAAGTCTATGTTCAGAACACCGGAGAAAGTGTGAGAGACTTAGAGGATTTTTTTTTATTTTTGCTTCTTTCAAAACTACTATAGATTTTGAATAAGTTTTAGTCATTTTCACCTTGTTTCTTTCATTGTGATTCCACTGAGCTTAGGTTTTTGAATGTATTCAGGCCATAGAAACATCAAAGATATGTCGATGATATTATTGATGGAGATCTGCCAGCAGTGATAAGCAGCATGCCTCATTTAATACATAATCTGACTTAAAACTTAGTCAGATATAGATGTAAATATCAATATTTTATCATTTCCATGGAAAGAGTTTTATATTCCCCAAACCCTAGTTTATTAATCTTTGAAATGAGAATATAATAAGGTCTATATCACCATGAGATTTTAGTGAACAAACTCATAATTTACAAAGTTGATAGAGGTTATCAGGAATAACAATCTCTATACCATATTTGTCTAACAACAAACATCATTGTTTCCATAGGCAGTCTTAAATCCATCTTGCCTTTTTCAGATTAACCATATTCTCTTTTCCAAGTATATCACATATATCTTATTTTATTAATTCCTCTGGTTGACATTCCATTATTTACCCATGTCTTTAGCACATAACGTTCTTCTTTTAGAACATTAACTGGGATATAGCACTCGCATTACAATATCATCCACAAAATGATTATTTATATGCTCATTTGACCACATACATTACCATTTATATTACAGTTCTATATTCCTCATGGTGAAATGGGTGCCGCTTTTGGTACCTTATTAATCTATATTTTTATTTTCTTAATTCATTGAAATTGTATTTATTTTTGTAGAGGTTTAATGGTATGATATATGAATCTTAAGTGTACAGCTTAGTGAGTTTCAAAAAGTGAATATATTTGTATTACCCAGATATCAGTCAAGAAATAGACATTTCATTCCTGGATAAATTTCTATTGTGCTCCTTTACCAACAATCCCCTCCATGACAGAGGCAACCACTATACTCATTGCTTTCTGCAAAATTAGCTTTCCTTGTTCTTGAGCCTCAAATAGGATTACCATTTGGTTTCCCATGTCTTTAATTCAACATGTTTTTAATGTTGTCTATTCTGTTGCCTGCTGCTGTTGAGTAGTAACCATCTATCTATCTCTCATCTATCTGTTGACCTCCCTCCACATATATATCATGTTGTTTAATCCTGTTGATGAAGTATTTCGTTAATAGATTTGAAGCGAATTTTCTCTATTCATTAATAGTGTGACTTTGGCATGTTCTTTCACCTCTTTGAGTCTCATTTTTTTTAACCTATAAAATTTTTATACTATATTTTAATCTATACCAAAGGTTTAAAACACAGAATTGCCTTATAATAAGCCCTCAATAATTGTGTATTTTTAACAAATTCTTTCATTATCTTCCATTTTAATTCTTTTATTTTTATTTTTTTATTTTTTCTTGGAGATAGGATCTCACTCTGTTGTCAAGGCTAGAATGCAGTGGCATGATCATGGATCACTACAGCCAAGACCTCCCAGGCTCAAATGATCCTCCCACCTCAGCCTCCTGAGTAGCTGGGACAAGTGAGCACCACCATGCCCAGTCGATTTTTTTTTTTTTTTTTTTTTTTTTTTTTTTTTTTTTGAGACAGAATCTCACTCTGTTTCCCAGGCTGGAGTGCAGTGGCATGATCTCGGCTCACTGCAACCTCCGCCTTCTGGGTTCAAGTGATTCTCCTGCCTCAGCCTCCCAAGTAGCTGGGATTACAGGGGCCTGTCACCATGCTGGGCTAATTTTTTTGTATTTTTAGTAGAGACGGGGTTTCACTATGTTGGCCGGGCTGGTCTTGAACTCCTGACCTCAGGTGATCCGCCCACCTCAGCCTCCCAAAGTGCAGGGATTACAGGAGTGAGCCACTGCGCCTGGCCTAGTTGAACAGCTTTTAAGTAGCAGAGTTAGGACTCATTTCCAGAGTTCTGTGACTTCCTTCCTTCCTTCCTTTCTCTCTCTCTCTCTCTCTCTCTCTCCCTCTCTCTCTCTCTCTCTCTCTCTCTCCCTCTCTCTCTCTCTCTTTCTTTCTTTCTTAGATGGAGTTTCGCTCTTGTTGCCCAGGCTGGAGTGCACGTGCCACATGCTCGGCTACTTTTTTGTATTTTTAGTAGACATGGAGTTTCACCACGTTGGTCAGGCTGGTCTCAAACTCCTGACCTCAGGTGATCCATCCTCCTCAGCCTCCCAAAGTGCTGGGATTACAGGTGTGAGCCACTGCACCCAGCCGAGTCGTGTGATTTCTAAGGTAATAGCTGAAATATTTTGCTGTGAGATATATATGTATATGTATCTATACATATACATAAACATGTACATCTATAGACGTGTGCGTGTCAACTTATTATCAATGCTTTGTTTTCTTCAACATATAGCTATTAACTACCTCTTTCTGTGTTTTTCTAGATCTCTTTTACATAGGTCTTGGAGATTTTTTTTGTTTTGTTTTTTGTGGTTTTTTTTTGTTTTTTGTTTTTTGTTTTTGAGACGGAGTCTCCCTCTGTCGCCCAGGCTGGAGTGCAGTGGCGCGATCTCGGCTCACTGCAAGCTCCGCCTCCCGGGTTCACGCCATTCTCCTGCCTCAGCCTCCCGAGTAGCTGGGACTACAGGCGCCCACCACCACACCCGGCTAATTTTGTGTGTTTTTAGTAGAGACGGGGTTTCACCGTGTTAGCCAGGATGGTCTCGATCTCCTGACTTGTGATCTGCCCTCCTCGGCCTCCCAAAGTGCTGGGATTACAGGCGTGAGCCATCGTGCCAGGCCAGGTCTTGGAGATTTTCATACTCTGATCTGGATCTTTATTACAGCAGACATTATTTATTTCCCTTGATTTTATTCTTTTTTCTCTTTTTAGCTTCTGGAGCAAGATTGAATGTCTCTGACTGGTAATTATTCTATAGATAAAGCTGTAATGAGTTTCGACACACCTCCTGTTTCTTGTTTTCCCCCCTATTTTAAAAAATGATGCCCCCTATATTCTGAGACTGACCTGTATTTCCTTAACCAGGCCTGTGGCCCGGGATGCTGAGGACCATCAGGTGTGAACTGAGCTTAAAAATAAATTCCATGGCTGCTTTTGTCACCCTTGCATGCTGGTCACTCTGCCCTCAGCAGGTATGGATGATGACGCCACTCACAGATTCAAAGAAAGGGCAAACTGGCAGAGTGAGTCATTGGATGTTGCTGGCACAGCTATAAAGATCCAGTGGCCCAAGTTGTGTACCTGAATTCAAGCAGTGGGACAAATGAGGGTTTGGCATGCAGCTCGTCATCTTAAGAGTTACTATCTTCTTGCCCTGGTGTTTCGCCGTTCCAGTGCCCCCTGCTGCAGACCATAAAGGATGGGACTTTGTTGAGGTAGGTGAACGACTCAGGACCACATTATTACATGGTGACCATTGTGGGCTCTTATTTCGTGTGTGTGTGTATGTGTGACTGCATGGTATAATGATAAATACACACATTAATATTACACATGAAAACATTTTATTCTATCTATGTGTTCATTTTTCTCTTCTAATTTTAAGAAAAAAATTAATTTTTTGTAGCCCCTAAAAGTGTTTTTGGGCCCTAGGCACTGTGCCTTCTGTGCCTAATTCAGCCCCATTGCTCATCTCTCACTTTCTTAGTCTTCTATATGGCATAGAGTGAACACTCCAGTATATAGGTCTCTGATCTATATACTGGAGTGAGAGATCAAGGGAAATCATTCAAATAAATTAATGGGACCTTCACATTGACTGAGTAATCTCCCAGTCGGTCTACCACACACTTTCAATTTCTAAAAAAATTATGAATTTGCTCCAAACTTTTAAGCATCCAAAATACCTAAAAAATGTTATAACTGGTTGCAGTCATGTATTTTGTAATTGTATAGGAACCTAGTCAAATTTCCTGCTAATGTTTAGTCCAGAACAATACAATAAGTCATTTGCCTCTTAGTGCCCAGCTCAGCTGATAATAAAACAAAGGCATAAAAATGCAGTCATATAATTTAAAAAAAACAGTCAATAGGTTTACGTCAAGTACTCATAAGAACTGTGGAATAATAGATCAAGCTGTATCAGACATGAGCATTGCCCTTAAAGTATTTTGAGTCCAGCTAGCATTCAAATACAGACAGAGAAAGCCTAATTACAATACAATGTGCTTTTTTTGTATTTAGAAGTTTACATTTAATACACTAGACTGGCAGAAAAATCAGTGGAGACAAGGAATAGGTAAACAACGGGCTCTTTAAAAGTAACTTAATGAAATGGAAGTAAATGCAAATGAAATGGGGAATGCAGAACCAGCCAAATTTTATGTCCTGGAGTGATTGATTGTATCCTGATTAAGAAAACCTCCATCAGTCAGAAAGACCAGAGGCCATCTTCCCCGGGGAATTCCCAGGTAATATCTTCCTGTCGTTTATACTTGGGTTTCTCCATCCTAAAACTTGGAAGCTTTTTCTTTTAAAAAAATGTTATAGTTTATCCATGTTATTTTTATTCTGTCACTTCTCATTCATATCATTTCACTGTGGCATAAAGAATCAGGGATGGCTGCCATCATCTGACTGAGAACAGGAGACTTAGGAAGGCCAGACTAAGTACCGTCCTTCTGAGACCCTCAAAGAAGGCTATGCCCAGGGTAACTGATATATGGGTCTTCCCTATTGACTCTTAGTACTCATCCTTCTTGATCTGATTCAGGGCTATTTCCATCAATTTTTCCTGACCAAGAAGGAGTCGCCACTCCTTACCCAGGAGACACAAACACAGCTCCTGCAACAATTCCATCGGAATGGGACAGACCTACTTGACATGCAGATGCATGCTCTGCTACACCAGCCCCACTGTGGGGTGCCTGATGGGTCCGACACCTCCATCTCGCCAGGAAGATGCAAGTGGAATAAGCACACTCTAACTTACAGGTGCTTGTTACTAAGGCCTAGAGGATAATGTGTGGGGTGATGACCTCAAAGGGCTTTCTACCAGGTCTCTCCTGGAGGTACCTCTACTCTCTTCTGCTTTCATTGGCAGCCCGCTCAAAGCCCAAAATCTCCCTCAGAGAAGGTAATACTACCAGATCCTTTTCTAGCTTCCTCTAACCATCTCTTTAGAAAGTAGAGAGCATAACCACTATCCTTTCCCTTTGTTAAATCTTTTCTTTTTAATTTTAATGCGTGAGTGTGTGGATGGTTCTAAGGTACAATTTTGAAAACTTAATTTCTGCCTAGGTTACTCTTTCTGTTGGGGATTCTAAATATACTTGAGATATCTAAAGCAAGCAGTACTAAATTATGTAGAATGCTATACATTTTAATTTATGTAGAATGCTGTATATTTAATTTAATTTAATTTTGTTCACATTGTTTTATTTACTTATTTTTCCCCAACCACCAGATAGGACTGTCATTCTTAGACTTTAGCTGACCTAAGAATAATTTGGGATATTGTTAAAATTCTTAGAAATCTATATTTGCATGTTTAATTCCTTAAGTTTCTGATTTAATTAGTCTGAAATTAGCTCAACTTTATAAATAACCAAAATGAGTCCTAAAACTATTAAATGATTCTCCCCAAAGTAGAATTATTCATGTTTAGAGCTAGGATAATTCCCATTCCTCTGAACTATTTCATTTAGAGATTGCTTTCCTCAGGATTATCAATTACCCACATGATATGAAGCCATCCGCAGTGAAAGACAGTATATATAATGCAGTTTCCATCTGGAGCAATGTGACCCCTTTGATATTCCAGCAAGTGCAGAATGGAGATGCAGACATCAAGGTTTCTTTCTGGCAGTGGGGTAAGAAATTGACATGGGAAGAAGGATATGTATATGCCCTGTGTAAAGGACAAAGGGTTTCCATCCTTAAACAAAAACCTAGCCCCCCTATTAAAGTTTCTGAGAAAAAAAGTCTGACAAAACCCTACTGCAAAGCAAATCCTGTAATAGGGAAGACATTTTTAGTAAAATGAAGCAATAAATAAAGAAGAGGTGTTGGCTGCAGTGTGAATATGGTGGGGGTACTGCACATTTTCCTTCCAAAAAGACGATGCATAGCTCCGAAATCTATTGAAATGCTATTCAAAGTTGAACCAACTTACTTATAAAAACTTTCTGAGTTTAAATTCTCTTTCCCTTTTCCCCTACCATTTTGAAAAGAGGTTATCATTATTATTGTTGTCTAACTTGTAAGCTTTACTCAGTGTCTGCCATCTGTCTGTCTTTCTTTTTACCCTAGATAAGAGAGTAGGAAGATTTTGGGCCCCACCTTATTTCTCTGCATAGATAATGCCTTAGCTCTCTCACATCCCCCAGTGGTAGACTGTTGCACAGTATCCTAAGTCTCTGAGGCTTACTTAAGACTATTCTGGCCTTTGTTTCTACCTCCACCCTCATTGTGATCATAGCTTCTGTCGTCCACAGCCCATGAAGATGGTTGGCCCTTTGATGGGCCAGGTGGTATCTTAGGCCATGCCTTTTTACCAAATTCTGGAAATCCTGGAGTTGTCCATTTTGACAAGAATGAACACTGGTCAGCTTCAGACACTGGTAAATGCCTTGTTTGGTGGGATCGCTAGAACTCTCTGGGAACCTGGGGTTCAGTGTTGATGGTTTCCATTTAGGGATCCAGAGTGGTCAGGGTGAGGTGGAAGATTTGGCTGAGGAATCAGGTCTTCTTTATAAGTGAGGAGATGTGGGATCATTTCTGAACACAGATGATCCCATAATAAACACATTGTCAGATTGTGTTTTTTTCTCCTTATCTCTTTGCTTCTATTTGCCAGTCCCTCTTTCTTTCCATGTGTCTTTTTCACTTCAAGTTTATCTGTCCAAATATCTTGCCATTCTGTTTTCTACTTACTTTCTTTCCCTCCTTGCCTACCTTTTCCTTTACCCTGTAACATTTGCCCTTTCCTCGTTTTCTGTTCTCTCCTTTTTCTTTGTCCTATTTCACACACTTTCAGCATTCCCTATGCATAGTTAATTTTATCTTTTTTTTTTCTATAATTTTTCAGGATATAATCTGTTCCTGGTTGCAACTCATGAGATTGGGCATTCTTTGGGCCTGCAGCACTCTGGGAATCAGAGCTCCATAATGTACCCCACTTACTGGTATCACGACCCTAGAACCTTCCAGCTCAGTGCCGATGATATCCAAAGGATCCAGCATTTGTATGGTCTGTGCTGCTTAAGGAAGAGAAGGGAGATCTGGGCAGGAAAATTTCACCTGAAATTTACTGTTGTTTTTTTTTTCTGTTTCCATAGGAGAAAAATGTTCATCTGACATACCTTAATGTTAGCACAGAGGACTTATTCAACCTGTCCTTTCAGGGAGTTTATTGGAGGATCAAAGAACTGAAAGCACTAGAGCAGCCTTGGGGACTGCTAGGATGAAGCCCTAAAGAATGCAACCTAGTCAGGTTAGCTGAACCGACACTCAAAACGCTACTGAGTCACAATAAAGATTGTTTTAAAGAGTAATATTTTGTCCTCATAATTTGATATGTCTCAGCATTTGCTATGTTCAACCACTGTGATCAGAACAAGAAAGAAGTGTACACAACAGTGGAGAACTCTGGCAGAGATGGCCACGGGACTGCAAGAAAAGAAAGCATAAGATTAGGAATAGACCTTTGCATTTTCCTACACAGGTAGAGTTTAAGGAATGTTATTTTCTATGCTGTATTGAATATGCCAGTTATGGAGACCAATTGGTTTAATGGCTTATCTAGTTATTAGCTATGAAACTTTGGTTAAGTCAAGTAACTTAAACAAAGTTAAGTTCAGGGCAGCTGAATCAACACTCAATTCCTAACAAGTCCTTTGCATCTCAAACTCTCCCTTTGTATTTGCTTCTGGAGAACCTAACCTCTGAAGTTGACTATTTGAAAAGCCAATGAAACTGTCAATCTACTGTGACACTAGTAGTATAAAAAAGAAAATGCATATCAAAACAACATGAGTAATGAGAAAAGCAGATACCGTGTGACTACTGCAGATCTTGAAAAATTATGAAAGTACTTAAGAATAACTTATAACCAATAAATATCAAAATGTATATCCAAACTATGTATTCCTAGATAAATACAATTTATAAAAATTGGTAAAAGAATAAATAGAAGATCTAAATGGTCCTATAAATGTTGGATAATGTAATCCTTAATTACATCTCTCCACAACTAGTTTTAAAACTGACAAAGAGAAAACCTGAATTGTCCGTAAGGATTAACTAGAAAGCCTATAATTAAAACTACCCTGGGATGGCCATTTAATTAAAAAACAACATACCAGCATATGCAAAATCTTCCCGGGGAGAAGAGAAAGAATATTTCTTCAGGTATTTTAGAGCTTTGTGTAATCTCAATCTCATAACAAAACATGACAAAGACATTACAGTAAGGAAAATTTCAGGCCGTGCTTACTGATGAACATCGATGTCAAAATTCTAAACGAAATATTTGCAAACCAAATCTGGCAATAAATAAAGAAAAGAAAATGGCATTCCAAACTTGAGTTTATTCCAGAAAGACAAGTTGATATTTGAAAATCAATCAATATAATTAATCACATTAACATGATATTAAAGAAAAATAATATGTATCATAAAAGCATGAATTTCAATAAACCCAAAATAATTTTATGAAATTCAGCATCTATTTTTGACAAAATCCCTTATCACATGAACAATAGAAGATGACAACATTCTCGGATAAAAGCAGGTACAAAAAATCTTAGCAAACATACTTAATGGTAAAATGTTGTTAACCACACCTGTGATATCTGCAAAAAGAAAAGAAAACAATTTTTATCCCTTCTCCCCAAAATGCACTGGAGATCTTATCCAATGCAACAAAGCAATAAATATAGAAAACGATAATGAAGATTTTAAATAAGAGAAAAAGAAGCTGACATTACTTGTGGAGGTGTGATTTGGTGCAAAATAAGGCCTTAGAGAATACAGATCACTTATTAAAAATAAAAAATAAGTTCAGCTTTTCTGAAAAAAGAAAAATTAACTTTATTTTTATGTAACAGTCCCAAATATTTAGAAAAAATTAATCATGCTACTTACGTTAGCACAATTGAATGCCAAATATGTGAGAATAAACCTAGTGTAAAATATGTAATCTCCAAACAGACAAGTATAAAATAATATTGAGAAAAAATAAAGACCTTAATTAATTGAAGTTCCTGTTCTTGGATTAGTTATCTTACATTCTAAACATGTAAATTCTCCCCAAATCGATCTACAGATTCAATACATTCTCAATAGTAGTCTCAATGTATATCTTGGTAGAAATGGATAACCTGTTTCTAAAATTTATTAATAAATGCAAAGAGGTAGGATAGCCAATATGCAAAGAAAAAAAATGTGTTGGGAGATGATGCTTCTTACCAAGCACTGAGGAAGCAGCAATGAACTGGATAGTAGCGTTTGCCTTTAAAGTGCTTAGTGTGCCTTCTTGAACCCTGTTGCTTAATAAATGCTTATGAAGCACATGACTAATAAATAACTCTGTTTAGTGAAATGTGGTAAACATCTTATAATGGAAAGACTTATCATTGCACTTTCTCATCATTGTTCTGTACAATGCCCCTAGTTAAAGCCGAAATTTCAGTATTCTTCTGGATCACAGTAGTTATCATAAATTTACTTTCTTACACTCATTTGAGAAAACTATTAGAGAACTAAGAATGGTGGATGAAAACAGGGATGCATTTCTACTATTTTCAGTATTATGATCATATGCTCTTGCCATACCTGTGGTTAAGGGCTTTTTATGGCCATTTCATCTCTGGGGATCCAACAGACTCTGACACCAATCCCTAATTTTCTTTGCCAGGAGACACCAGGAGTATTTATAGAGATGGTGGAAGCCTTCAAGCCTCACCACTCACAGAGTCGAAGGTTTTCAAAACCTGAGGTTCATAGAGACTTAAAATTGTAGCATCTTTAATCAGTACAGGTTTGATTTTCAGGTAGAGATGGGAAGTTTTCTCAGGTGAGAGATAAGCCCGTAAGAGCAGCAACTTAAACCACAGACACACAAAGAGAAATTAGAAGAAAGAAACAGCCAATCAAAGGGACCGGAAAAAATAGAGGATTACATGCTGAAAAGACACAAACTTAGATAAAAACAAAATATAAAAAAATGGCAGCAGGAAGGAGGCTAGAAAAGATAGTAAAGATAATTTGACACATAAAATGAGATAAAGAGAGAAAAAGCCACAGACATAGGAACAGAAAGAAAATATGACTTTAACTATAGTGAAGAAAAGTTTAGTCAGAGAAAGACAAAATGGAACTGTGGATCATTTGAGAAATGGGCTACTGATTGCAAATTAACTAGGCATATTGATTCAATTGCCTTATATTTAAATTTCAGGTAAGTGTGAATTTTTAAATTATAAATAGTTGGTAGATTTTAGCACATTTTGTATGTGGATATAGTTTGCTAAAGAGAGTAAAATTATGAGAAAGATGATGTACCATTTATGCAAAAGGAAAAAGAATTATTCTCATCTGTGAAAAAAATTAAATTTATTACAGTATTGTAATGTCTTGTTCCAATTATTTTCAGCGATTTTAAGATAAGCGATAAGCTGATTAGCAGAGAATAGGTTTTGATACTAGAGAGGCTGTAAAAAAATGGTCTTATGTTCAGTAGTTCTCCCTTAATTACCTGGAATAGGTGAATGTGTGACATAAGCCTATTCATGCCTCTGCCCTTTGAAACAGTCTTGTTATTACTCCCAGTTCTTTTCTATTATTTCTCTTTCGACCTCAGTGTGATTAAGTTGTACTAAAATCAACAAAGAACCACAAAGAATCATTGTCAGTGACCCAGAAATAGAGTCAAAAGAAAATGAATAGAGAAAAGACAATAAATGGATTTTAAAAAGTGAAAGACATGACAGATATGGCAGTGAGAGGATAAGAAAGGGAAAGTACACACAGAAATAGAAACGGGAAAGGGGCTTAGGGGGCCCGGGTAGTGGAGGAAATGCGGAAAAGTAGCTCAAAGCATACAAACTTGCAGTTATGTAGGAAGAATAAGTCTAGAGATCTAATATACAGCATGACCACAGTTCATAATATTGTAGAATGGGAACTCTTTTCAGGTGAGGGATAAATCAATGAGATAAAGCAGTGAGTTAATAATATTGTAGAAATGGGGACTCTTTTTAAGTGAGGGATAAACCAATATGAGCAAGAATTAAAACCACAGAAATTGTATACCGAAAATTTGCCAAGAGAGTAGAGCTTAGGTGTTCTTAGCATACACATGCACGTGTGTGCATGCACACACACACACACAGGCACATAGTAATGACCATTTCACTATGTATATGTCTATGTATATGCATATATATATATAAACATCATTCTGTATACCTTAAATATACACAGTTAAAAATTAATAGGGATTACAAACAGAAATATTCCTGCCTGTCCTAACCTCAAATCTATTGGCCAGTCTACAACTGAAGTTTTCTAAACATCGCAATCTGCACATAGGGGACTTGCACATAAAGCAGGGAGAAAGAGAATTCTAAAGAGTAGTGATCCACTTTGTTCTTTGCATTCTATGTGAGAATTTAAGAAAATATGATTTATTTCAGGACTGAAAGAATTAAAGGAGAAAACATGGAATATTTTTCTGGCATGGGGTAAAATAAACTACTTCTCCACTGTGGCCACAGTTTTCTTTTCTTTTTCTTTTTTTCTCTTTCTTTCTTTTTCTTTCTTTTCCTTCCTTCCTTTCTTTTCTTTTCTTTCTTTCTTTCTTTCTTTCTTTCTTTCTTTCTTTCTTTCTTTCATTTCTCTCTCTCTGTTTCTTTCTTTCTCTCCTCCCTCTCTCTCACTCTGTGTGTGTGTGTGTTCTTTTTATTTCGATGTTAATACCTATATCATTTTTATGAGCTCAACTGTACAACAGGAGGTCAAAAAATTTTTCTGAGTGAGGAGAAAGAAAAAATAAAGTCAGCTAGTGATATGGAAGACTGGAGAGAAAAATGTTGCTTAGGGGTGAAGAAAAATAAATGCTCTAAACACATACTCTGCTGGGTGTGAAGAATTTGATGGGTAGCTGACTGCTTTATTTAAGACGAGGGTCTCAAATGAAAGCTTCATTCACATTGCCTAGGCTAGAGAAGAGTACCAGGTTAGGTTCTGACTCATAGAAGATGGAGGATTCCTGTACTTGGGTAAAAGTAGAAAAAGAGACAAATCCTTCTCATTACATGGAGAAGAGGGCTTTGTGCTTTCTTTTGTTCCTCAGATACAGATTCTAAATCAAGTCCTCTTTGGAATTCTAAGTTGTGCCATCTAAGAACTTTCAGTCTTCACGGTATGAAAGTGAGATAAGAATCAGTCAAGGGATTT
The DNA here is from genome assembly GCF_000001405.40 of Homo sapiens. Lineage (NCBI taxonomy): Eukaryota > Metazoa > Chordata > Mammalia > Primates > Hominidae > Homo > Homo sapiens. Next base: position 4,997,336 of record NC_000011.10, read on the forward strand.
TTAAAATAAAGCTTTTTATTAAATATAATGGAGATAATAAAAAGAAACAGCTAGCTAGCTGGAGCCTTGTGATACGAGTTTGAGACCACATTTGGAAATATTTTTACTCTAGGATGAGGCTAAGTCTTATCTTAATCTTTCAAAAGGTCAGAGACTAAGGGTCCAGAAGGAGGGTTGAGGGAATTACTGAGATGTTGCTACAGAGAGATGTTGCTGAAGTCTATGAGGCCCAGACTCTAAGGGACAAGGTAAGTAAATAATTTTCTCAGGGGCAGTTAATGGAACTAGACAGGGTTAAAATAAAGACCTAGGTAACAGAAGGGGCAGATAATCTCATAATGCTCAGCTGCTGTACCAAGTGCCATCAACACAGTATGATACAGCAAGGGCAACACTGGTTCAGCACAGGCAAGGAGGCTATTACAATAACAATTGCTGAGGGAAAGTAAAGCCAGATGTTAATATCATATTTTGAAACACTCAGAAGAGCTTGGTTGTTTCTAAGAGGCACTGATAGTGAATATTTAAGGCCTAAATTCTGGATTGTCATGAGTTCACAGAAGTAGGTGCAAGTGGGTCAGAAAATTAAGAACCACTTAATATTTTGATTGATGATCTTTTAAAAATGATATTAAAAGCATCGTTTGGAAACAGAAATCAATCAATCAAAAAAATCAATAGAAATAAAGTGGAAAAGTACCTCTTTTACTGAAAACATGTAATAGATAACTGTTAAATGCATTGTTCTCATTTTGTGGAAGAGCAGAAAGGGAAATGTCTTTAATGGACTTTCGTAGTTATATTGTGATGTTATGGCCTAAAGATTTATTTTCAAACTATTTAAACTCTTATTTCACAAACACACACACACACACACACACACACACACACACACACACACGCATATACACTCACACACTATATATATAGTTTTTTTACCGTGAATTTTTTTTTAGGTCAGGAATAGTTGCTATACTAAACAGCTCAAAACTGTGTTGGTTAAATAGCAGCTCAATAAAGCATGCTGGGATTATGGATTCTGGTATTATGGATTCTGTTTCTTATGTTCATGCTCTCTTTTCATATAGGGGTATTTATCTTGTATTATTAAAATATTAAATATTTAAAATGTTTAAATATTATAAATCTTTAAATAAAAATGCAGCTGAATAGAAATTATGTTGAGTCCATGGGATCAATTCGATTGTCATGAATGAAAAGATAGCCTAGAAGCAATAACTGATTAACTCAAGAACATTGGCCAGAAACTCATACAAATCCATCGACATTCACTCTGACTTTTCTCTATTTTCATCTTTATAATAATTAGTAAAAGTTCTTTTTTCTCTATTCTCACGTTGCTTAAATTCTTTAGTGTCTTTGATGCAAATCCAACGTATTTCTTGCCAGAGATGACCATATTTGTGTAGTCCACATTTTTGTTCCAGAATTTGTGCTCCTTAATATTGGGAAATGTTTTTTACATAGGGCCGACAAGAGATACCAGCTTCCTTCCTCTGTGAGGTTAGACGAAAGATGTATTTTTGTCCTCATTCCATTATTTGTACTCAAAAGAGATAACTTTGAGGGATCAGGAAGGAAAACACGAACCATTCCTCACTACTTGCTGAATTACTCAAAGTCACTATGGGAGACTGGAATAACAGTGATGCTGTGGAGCCCATATTTATCCTGAGGGGTTTTCCTGGACTGGAGTATGTTCATTCTTGGCTCTCCATCCTCTTCTGTCTTGCATATTTGGTAGCATTTATGGGTAATGTTACCATCCTGTCTGTCATTTGGATAGAATCCTCTCTCCATCAGCCCATGTATTACTTTATTTCCATCTTAGCAGTGAATGACCTGGGGATGTCCCTGTCTACACTTCCCACCATGCTTGCTGTGTTATGGTTGGATGCTCCAGAGATCCAGGCAAGTGCTTGCTATGCTCAGCTGTTCTTCATCCACACATTCACATTCCTGGAGTCCTCAGTGTTGCTGGCCATGGCCTTTGACCGTTTTGTTGCTATCTGCCATCCACTGCACTACCCCACCATCCTCACCAACAGTGTAATTGGCAAAATTGGTTTGGCCTGTTTGCTACGAAGCTTGGGAGTTGTACTTCCCACACCTTTGCTACTGAGACACTATCACTACTGCCATGGCAATGCCCTCTCTCACGCCTTCTGTTTGCACCAGGATGTTCTAAGATTATCCTGTACAGATGCCAGGACCAACAGTATTTATGGGCTTTGTGTAGTCATTGCCACACTAGGTGTGGATTCAATCTTCATACTTCTTTCTTATGTTCTGATTCTTAATACTGTGCTGGATATTGCATCTCGTGAAGAGCAGCTAAAGGCACTCAACACATGTGTATCCCATATCTGTGTGGTGCTTATCTTCTTTGTGCCAGTTATTGGGGTGTCAATGGTCCATCGCTTTGGGAAGCATCTGTCTCCCATAGTCCACATCCTCATGGCAGACATCTACCTTCTTCTTCCCCCAGTCCTTAACCCTATTGTCTATAGTGTCAGAACAAAGCAGATTCGTCTAGGAATTCTCCACAAGTTTGTCCTAAGGAGGAGGTTTTAAGTAACCTCTGTCCTCCAACTTTTCCACTGAAAATCTCATGGAAGCTGTTTTAGTATATGAAAAGTAAAATATCTGGGTGTTGCTCATCTGGTTAAAATCCTAATTCTTTCACTTCTTATACATGTAATTTCAGTTAATCTTTAACCAATATGAAACTCAGGATTTTTTTGGACAAATTGTGACAACTATGGCCTTACGTTGTCCCCAGGTCATTACAAGACTTATAATAGAAAATGTATGTGCTAAGTCAAGTTTTTTGAAAACTATACAAAATTATTAATGTTATTAAGTTGTCATTGTTGTTAATGATAACAGTATTTTCCTTCTTAAATGTAGCTGTGTTTATATTGTTTCTCATGTTAATTATCTAAAACTCAGAAATCAATCTCTATCTCTTTTACTAGTACTGCTGCACGTATTTTGTTGTTCATGCTACAATGTCATAACTGTTTATGAAAAATTTGAGTCCTTAGGGCAAGTTTGGAACTTGAGTTCCTGACAGGATTTTGACCTGCTGCTGTGGCCATTTGCTATGTACAAGTTCTAATCTCATCACTTAGTGATGTGTCCTTTCTCTCATTGCTATTCTAGATCTATCAGCTTCCTCAATTTGCCAGCAAATACTGAGTTAGATACATGGGAGTGTTACCAAATATAGTTTCAGTTGATGCCACTTGCAAAATCATATAACAAGAATGAAGGTGGTAAGAAGAATGTTACTATTCCAGAGCTTAGTGATGAGAAAGGGCCAGATTTGTACTGAAAGGAGACACTTCAGCATTCTGGGCAGAAAGCAGGGTTTTAATAAGAGAAATTTTGGTATGCAGGCCATGCAGAAGGCACATAGACTTGTGGGGTCTATAAGGCTTGCTCACGGATGTTTATCTTGGGTCATCTGGTGGGTCATCCAGTAGTCTGGCCAGTGGGGGAGAATTTGGTAGGGTGCTTGGTTTGTTTTAAGACTTGGTCTATGGAACTTCTTTTTCTTTCTTTTTCTTTTGAGACTGAGTCTTGCTCTGTCACCCAGGTGGAAGTGCAATGGCGTGATCTCTGCTCACTGCAACCTTCGCCTCCTAGGTTCAAGCAATTCTCCTGCCCCAGCCTCCCGAATAGCTGGGATGACAGGTCTGCGCCACCATCCCCAGCTAATTTTTGTATTTTTAGTAGATGCGGGGTTTCACCATGTTGGGCAGGCTGGACTCGAACTCCTGACCTCAGGTGATCTGCCCACTTTGGCCTCCCAAAGTGCTGGGATTACAGGCGTGAGCTCCCTAGACCAGCTGGCCTATGGAACTTCTAAGAAAACGTAGAGTAATATAAGGAAGTCGTGCTTGCAGGTGGTTTGGCCAGTGGAAAGAAAGGAATGTAAAGGTCGTAATTGCATTACTAAAGAGCAAAATAAGAGGTGACGGAAAAGGGGAAAAATTGTAAAATATACATATATATTTTAAAGAAAATGGGGTACTCAGTTACAGGAATTGTTGAAGAAAGCCTGACAGTACATGTCTAACCATCTGGGCAATTGTGTTGACTCTGTTCAATACTATAGGACAGGATTTTGTGTCTTAATTTGTGAATGGGTTAAGAGTTGTGCACAATCTCAACCCTCATCTTTTAATAATACTTTTACCTCTTGTTCTACATGCCTGTGTGGATCTGTAGTATTGTGTTTTTAATCAATTTATTTTTGATAACCCATTACTTTTTTCTTTTTCACTAGAATGAACTACAGATATGTTTTTATGGGTGATATTTTATTATTTCATATAAATTCACTTTCTTTTCAGCTGTATAGCACACTTTTTGAATATGGGGCCATGTCTATTACCTTATCACAGCACTATACAGCTGGTCTTCCCCAACAATCATGAGTACTCATTAAATAATTGAAATAACTATTATAGTTATTGCTGTTAGTACTGTGGATATATAAACAGCAAAATGCATAACGTTAATGTTAAATAATGAATGTTTAATAGTGAAGATACATAGATAAAAGGTTAGTAAAATTAAGTGTAATCAATGGTATTATTGGAACAGGTACCTTTTATAATATTGATATATTAATAAGTGGTCAATTTCACTTGAGGATTTAAGAATCAGTAATCAGAGTAGTTGACACTTTCACTGTGCATTGTGAGTCAAATTCATTCTTGACCAGTTGAACACAGTTGGAAATAAAGTGGCGTACCAAAGCTGGCACATAAGAGACAATTGTGCATATCTTGTTCTGCTTTTGTGCTCTGTAATGTCATATAGGTTAATGAAATTGGTTATGATGGAAGTATTTAAACCACAGAAATTGGTAAACATTATATATCAGGACTTGAAATTTTTTCTTAGAGAGGAGGTGGTTAAACACTTACCAACACATCACTGGGAAAGGTATTCTAGAAAGAGGAGGTAACATGAAGAAAGCAAAGAGGTTAGAAAGAGTATGTGTTAGCAACGTTCTTCAGTCTAACTTAAAACTTACCCAAAGCATTTTGCATTTCCTCCCACAAAAAAAGGGCTCTGACATGGGCTATGATGGACAAAGATATGTAGTTTCAGCCCCATTTCAATGAAAGACTTGTAGCCCCAGCTGCTGGCAGTAAGTCCAGTAGAAAGCCTTCAATTTTTTTTTTTTTACCTTTTCAGGAATTGCCTCAGCTGGAGAAATGAGCCTTGCCTGGGGTCATCCACTGACACATTCAATGACTAATGTAGAAAGTTGGAAAGGTCTGGCCCCTTCAGCCCAGTGAATTTCACTGGGCAATTTTATATCCAGGACTCCCCGTGATGTTGGACAAGGCTATCTTCAGGCCTGATTCACAGGTCAACTTTTCCCTCTGCCCAATCCTACCCACTTTCATTCCTTTTCATTTAAGATGATTATCCCAGGGATTCTCTTATTAAACAAACTGCACACTAAATTTTACCTCAAAGTCTGCTTCCCAGAGAACCCTGAAATGAGAAGTTCTCAGAAAACCTGTGACGTAAAGGTGTTAGGGGTGGCTAATATCCAAGTCTCATGACATCAAATATATTACTGGTGGAAGGTATTCAAGTTACCAGTGGCAAATCCATACGGGTCTGCAGCAACCTCAATTTTTGCCTCCTCAGAAGAAAGAAATTGACTGAGGGGCATAAGGCAGAGAAAGAGATCAAGGCAAGTTTCGAGCAGGAGTGGAAGTTTATTTAAAAATGCTTTAGAAGAGGAAAAAAGGAAAGTACGCTTGGAAGAGACCCAAGGGTAAATTGAAGGACAAGTGCTGTGTTTAACCTTAATCCTAGGACCTTATAGTCTGGCGCCTTTCCCGTGATCCTTCCCTTAGAGTGGGCTACCCACATGCACAGTGCCCTCCTTACCCTTAGGAAGTGAGCATGCACAGTGTGTTTAGGAAGTTGTACACGTGCCCATCTGAGGCTTTCTTCCCTTTCTCGGTGGTGTGCCCTCAGAAGGTCATACTCCTTCATTTTGTCTCTTAATGCACATGTCTAGAAAGTTACTTCCTTTTGGCATCTGCATTCTATTAGCAGTTTAGTGCAACAGGTGTGGACCATCAGGAAATGGCCTCTCCCTGGCGCAGGCTGCCAATTTATCACTTTTAGAGAGGCAATGTGATAATTGCCCAACCATTGCCTAACATTACTAGTGGGTAAGCTAGAGCCCTTTCCTGCCCCACTCATGCCTAACTACCTGTAACATAGAAAGATAAAATAAAATTCTCAAGGATTCCTTTTTTTCAGGCAGATGAAACAGGATGAGAATTCAAGAGCAAATATCCATGGTTTTTAAATCTCTTAAGTTTCAAGCGGAAGATCAAACACAGTGTGTAAGCCTGGAGAACTAAAAATAACCTATAATTCAAGTTGACATTGTGAGATGTATGTATACAACCATCTTCTACAATCTATGTACTTTCTTAATAGTATGTCTGATGACTAGAAATGTTCTTAATTTTAATTAAGTCCAACTTATAAATTTGCTTTTATGTTTAGTGCTTTTGTGTATTTTTAAGGAGATATTTGCCTATTCTGTCATTCAGGATCCAGTAAGAAGACAAAAATCACACAGTAATTTGAATAGAGTTTATAAATACAAATACTTATTAATTTCATAAGGAAATCAACTTTAAAGAAGGTAAAGACAACGCTGAGTAATACCCTAGAGCTAAGAGAGAATATTGAAAGAAAAAACAAACTTGGAAAATGGGGAAGGTACTCCCCAAGCCCGAGGTTGAAACTTCATTTGAGAATGCATAGTCTTAGCATCCTGGATGCCAGAAAAGGTCATTACATTGCATGTGTTTAGAAAGACACTTCTGTGGGGTATAGGTGAACCAAGGCTGAGAGACTAAGATTCCTTTTCAGGACTGAGTAGTAGGAAGCACCAGGTGAGCTGAGGCTTGTAGGCAGGGAACTATAGTTGGCATTGGCAAGCAAATGATAACCCCCCTTTGAAGTACAGGTGGGCAGCAAATCACAGTTTGGACTGACAAGCTGGAAACACCCCTCCAGGGTCCAAATAGGTTATTTGGGAAGCCAGTCCCTAGAGTAACTGCAAGACTCAGTAAGAGTCTAGCCATATGGGTATTGTTGAAATTTGATAGGATGAGTATTACTAAATATTTCTCATTACACGCCTCTGGTAGAAGAGAGAGAATAATCAAAGAGAAGTACACACGAACTTCTCTTACAAGTGTCCCTGCGGCACCCTCTGCTGGCCAAGTTTAACATCATGAATCTGTGAAGGAAAAAATGTCCATTGAGCCCAGTTCCATTGTTGCAGAGTAAGCAATGAAGTCTATATTTGAAACTGGGACAATAAATAAATAACTGACACATTTGCTGATATTATCAATGATGTCCTTCTGTGTAATTTTTGAAAGTTGTAAGGCTTTCCTTTTGATATTTCTAAATACAACACATGTAGAATTTATTTTTATGAATGATGAGGTAAGGTCAAGGCATATTTTTTGATATGAATACATAGTTCAGTCAGAACTATGTAAAAGAAAATAAAAATTGAAGGACCCCCCAAACTTGTGCAGAAGTAAAGACTAAGTCCTGAAGCTGAATCATTGCAACACTCTCTTCCACATGAATAACTGTTACTAACATTATATATCAGCCAGACTGGAAAGGTAAATGGCCTCAGGCATCTGGGAAGGGCTACCCACAGATCATTCATAAGTAAATTCTTTGCTTGCCTCCCATAAACAAGGACACGCTAGTTGTAAATTTAGGTCCACAATCCAGGTCTAGCTCCTAAAACTCCACACCGATTATGTCACTTACAAGTTTATCTTCCCAGGTGCAGAAAAGTCAAGATTCATTTTCTTCACCTACCCAGAGACGACTACATGATTGAGTCTTCCTTTACTCCCTTTCTCGCTTCAGACATTCACCTTATCTTACGTAAAATGTAGATTTACTGAACACTAACTGAAGTCTCAGGAATGTAACTATTTCCCCTACTGCCCAACCTACATGCCTCCCCCTTCCCCCTTTTAAGGAAATGGATAAATACACAATGTCCTGAAAACCTTTGTGGAAATAGCCACAGATGTGTCGGTGGCTTTTGTTTTTCCCAGAAGTGCCCTAAACCTGGCTTAATAAACTTCAGTGATTGAGACTTATGCCTCAGTGACTCATTTTGGTTTTCAATCATCTATTGAATAAAGCATTATTCATCCCCTGTACCACAGTGCTTCCATTGTCATATGGTGAAAATGTATATATTTGGGTCTATTTCTCATATTTCTCTTCTGTTCCATTGGACATAATTTTCTATCATTCTGCTAATCCATGACTGTTGTTAATTATGATTTTATGGTAGGTTTTGTTATAAGGTAGTGTGAGCCCAACAGTATGAGGGTTACTTGTTCAAATGCCCTTAACTATGTTGGTATTTGATATGGTTAGGTTTTTTGTTCCCACTCAAATCTCAACTTGAATTGTAATTCCCATTATCCCCATAATCATCACATGTCAAGGGAGAGACCAGGTGGAGGTAATTGAATCATGGGTGCTGTTTCCCCCATGCAGTTCTTGTGATAGTGAGTGAGTTCTCACAAGATGTGATAGTTTTATAAGAAGCTCCTTACCCTTTGCTTGGCACTTCTCCTTCCTGCTACCTTGTGAAGAAGGTGCCTTCCTTGCCCTTCCCCTTCTGACATGATTGTAAGTTTGCTGAGGCCTCCCCAGCCATGCCGAATTGTGAGCCAATTAAACCTCTTTCCTTTATAACTTAACCAGTCTCAGGCAGTTCTTTATAGCAGAATGAAAATGAACTAATACAGTAAATTTGTACCAGGAGTGGAGTGGGAGTCAAAAGTGATCATTTTGAAACTTTAAGGTTTAATGACTTCCTTGTTGGATTTGAGATTTGCATAGGGCCTGTAGCCCCTTTATTTTGGCCAATTTATCCCATTTGTAATGAGTATATTTACTTAATGCCTCTACCCCCATTTTATCTAGGAAGTAACTAACTTGCTTCTGATTTTACAGGCTCATGGGTGGAAGGATCCTGCCTTGCCTCAGATGAGACTTTGGACTTGAAATTTTGGGTTAATGCTGGAATGAACTAAGACTTTGTGGGACTGTTGGGAAGGCATGATTGGTTTTAAAATGTGAATAGGACATGAGATTTGGAAGGGACCAAGGGCAGAATTATATTGTTAGGCTTTATGTCCCACCCAAATCTCATCTTGAATTGTAATCCCCATAATCCCCACATCTCTAGGGAGAGAACAGGTGAAGGTAATTGAATCATGAGTGCAGTTTGCCACAGGTAGTTCTCATGATAGTGAATGAGTTCTCGTAAGATCTGATGGTTATATAAGGGGCTCTTTCTCCTTTGCTCAGCACTTCTTCTTTCTGCCACCTTGTGAAGAAGGTACCTTGCTTCCCCTTAGCCTCCTGCCATAATTAAACTGTGAGTCAATTGAAACTCTTTCCTTTATAAATTACCCAGTCTAGGGTAGTTCTTTATAACAGTAAGAAAATGAACTAATGCAGTATTTGTGTTTCTATATTAAGTTTTATATAAGGTATTAAATTTCTACAAAATTCTAAACTCAATTTGTAACCTGATTTAATGTGATTAGCCACTCTTACTATATGAAGTCTTCTAATCTGTGAACAGAGTACATCCCTTGATTGAAAAAAAGTGTCTTAAATTTCTCTCAATAGTATTTGAAATTTTAAGTTTAGAAGTCTTGTACTTCTTTTACTAGGTTTTTAGGTCTCTGTATTTTCAACACCATTATAAATATTATATTTTCAATTTCAATTTCTATGTGCTTTTGAATATAAGCATATGTTTTTTGGATATAAAAAAGATATCTACCTACCCTGATCAATTAACTTATTGATTCTCATCACTTGTAGTGAGAGTATTTTGCATACAGTTCAGCAATATTGTCTGTAAGTAATGATGAGGCTTTATTTGTTTGGTCTTGCTCAACTAAAGCTCCTTCAGGAAAGAATTTCTGTTTCTATCCCCCCATAGCACTGAATCCTGTGACTATATTATGTCTCAATAAACGAACAGATTCAGCGAATGTAACATTGCATCCAATGGGCTCTTCTTGCCTGCTGCCCAGATAGAGCTGATTTATTGAAGCAGGGGATTGCAAGGGAGAAAGAGTTTTACATAGAGAGCCAGCTAAATAGAAGTTCAAAGTTTTATTATTACTTAAATCAGCCTTCCTAAGAATTTGGAGGCTAGGGTTTTTCAAAGGTAGTTTGGAGGAAGAGGAGGGGTGGCTAAGCAATGGGTGCCTGCTGCTGATTGGTTGGGAGTGCAATCACAGGGGTATGAGAAATGGTCCTCATAAGCCTGAGTCATTTCTGGGTGGGGCCACAGGAGTGATTGGCACATGTAGGAGCCACTGGTCATCACACATGCAAAAAGCCTGAAAAGATATCTCAAAAGGCCAATTCTAGGTTGTATAATAGTGATGTTATCTGCAAGAGTAATTAAGGAAGTCGTAAGTCTTGCGACCTCCAGAATAATGGCTGGCAATTGTTTATGTCTACACTTTAGCAGAATTCCGGCTCCTCTATCCTCCTAGCCTAGTGATCTCTCATTAACTTTACAAAGGTGGTTGAGTTTTGGGGAAGGGCTATTATTATTTTAACTATAAATGTCTTCCAAAGTTAGCTTGACCCAAGCCCAGGAATGATTAAGGGAAGTCTGAAGAATAAAGGCAAGATGGGGGTTGGTTAAATCAGATCTCTTTCGCTGCCATAACGTTGCCACTGTATAATTTTTGCAAAGGTGGTTTCACAAAGATGGCACATTTCTATAACTAAGAGTGTGCCTTAAGAAATGTTCAGTATTAGTATATAAAATTTAAACAATTCCCAATTAGTAATTAGACTTGCACATCTTAAACCATGCCACTCTCCATTAACATGCCAACTTGCATGCATCCTCCACATGAACTCTGAATTGGGCTTAATGATGATGTTGTCTTTCTGTGACCACACAAGAGCTTCTCAGATCACACACACACACAAACACACACAAACATTAGCTTACTCTTTCTTACACTATGAATTAATAACAAGATATTTTAAAAGTGTGGATGACATTAAAATCTAAAAAAGAAATATCTCAATGTATCCATTTTAATACACTTCAATCATTTTTATTGATAAAGAAATCTTACTCTTAAATGTTACATATAATTGTTTGTTTTCTCATTCAGCTTAGTCAACAAGGTTTATAAATTTTTACTAAGAGATCCATTAATATAATTATATAATAAAAATTGATAAAAAATAATGGGATTGAATGAGATTTGGGAGAATGGTGTTATCATGATACCCTAGGAATATAGAATCAGTGATAAATCTTCAAGAAGAAAGAGTAAATTACCATTTAAACTAAGTCTTATTCAACTCGATGGAGGTGAAAATAAGGGGCAAAATATTATTAGACCGATAGTCAATGGCTTTTCTTGTTCATATTTTCTTGTAGTTGTTTTACCTTTTCAAAGCCAAGAAAGCTAAATCTCAAAACCCAAGTTTATTTGAAAAAAATGCATATTTCAGAATGCCCGCATATTAAATTAATGTGTGAAATGTAACTTAGACACACATTTCCCAAGGGAAAAATGTTTGCTGTCTTAAAAGATATATGCATGGAAATCCAAGTCATGGTTAAAAGCTCTTTAATACTCATGAGTTTGGATCCAGAGAAAGTAATCTTATGATTGAATTATTTAATAGCTATAAAATTTGATGCACCCTTTAAAATACTTGTCAATGTCTTTGAGAGAAGTTTCAGTTCAGGATTCAAAATATGGGGTCACAAAATTGGCACACCCACAAAATACTAATAATAACTAATTTTAAAACAACCCTGTATTAAAGGAAAAGGGAATCAATTTTTGATTATCTGTTATTGATTATTTAATACATTCTAAATGTTATACATTTATTAACACATCGAATATTTACAAAAATCCTGTTGCTTAAAATTATTATGAAACTCATTTCATAAACAAAGAAAAAGAAGTGAAAAGACGTTAAGTAGTTTTCTTAGTCACACAGATAGTTAAGTGCCAGAATTGGAATTCAAAGGTAAGGAACCTCTCTATCTACAGTGTTCTTTTTTTTTTTTTTTTTTTTTTTTTTTTGGAAGGGGCCTCGCACTGTCACCCAGGCTGGAGTGCAATGGCGCAATCTCGGCTCAATGCAACTTCCGCCTCCCGGGTTCACACGATTCTCCTGCCTCAGCCTCTCGAGTAGCTGAGATTACAGGCGCACACCACCACACTTGGCTAATTTTTTGTATTTTTAGTAGAGACGGGGTTTCACTATGTTGGCCAGGCTGGTCTTGAACTTCTGACCTCATGATCCGCCCTCCTCGGCCTCCCAAAGTGCTGGGATTACAGGCTTGAGCCACCGCGCCCGGCCGGATCTACAGTGTTCTTTACTCTAGTTGGTCCAGAGTTAATGTGCTTGGCCTTCATACTACCCACAGATTTAAATACAGAATTTTAATTTTTGGTGTAGTTTTGTTTTTCTCTCCTTAAAACAGGGTTTTTCAACATTGGCACTATTGCCAGGGACTGGCTGAGTCTCTGTTGTGAGTCGCTGTCCTGCACATTGTAGAATGTTTAGAAGTATCCTGGGCAACTACACATGACATGCCAGTAACACTTTCCCAATTACAACAACTGAAAATGGCCCCAGACATTGTCAAACACCCCTTTGAGGCAAAAAATCCTTCTTCTTGAAAATCACTGCCTTAAGCCAAACATTTTCTAGGCATTCATTTCCAAATTGATCTCTGCAGAACACAAATTTCAGATGTTAATAAATGCTGTCTGTATAAAATATGTTTGAAAAGGCCGGGTTAAACTATATTACACAAGTTTCCATAATGCTTGATTTCTGTAAAATGTTAGATGTTAATGGGGCCTACTTATAGTCACACACAGTGGAATGACTATGTGAAGTTTCCTCTAAACATAATTGCTAAGGATTGATTGATTGATGTGTGTTTGGTGTTTCGGCCATTAATTCTATTATAATAGTGGTCTATTGTAAATATTAGAAAAATCTAATAAAAGTGTGTGAAAACATTAAAGACTTTTGAGAAGGAAAATACCATAACATAAAATGCTAGAAAAGTCAAATTTGATAGACTGATAAGAAAATGTGTTGTATGAGGCAGCTGTGGTATCCCTAAAAACCACTATAAAGTCATTTTCTCCTGAATCAAGATTTTATTGGAAATGACTTGAATTGATCTGGCATTGAAGAAAATGGAAACAAAAATGATGAATCTTAGAGGCAGTTTATATTGTGGATAGAAACATATTGATTAATTACATCATGAGTTTTGAAAAAATTAGAAAAAAAGCATCAAGAAACATGAATGGCATAACGGAGATACATTTTTTAGTGGCAAAATGTGACGTGCAATTGAGAAAGAGGACAAGCAAAGTGTTGGATTTCAATCTAAATTGAAGGAGATTTGCCAAACCTGTTCTCCATGATCATCTCTATTACCTGTGTAATTTTTGAATGAATAGATAAGATGCCCTTTACAATTATGCTTTGGAGGGATTTATGTCTTTGCTAGATAGTGACAATAAGGGACTGTAACTTTTTGTATCGTATCACATCTTCATTTTTTCTTTTATTGAATGCTCAGGGGCAGATTTGTGGGCCAGTGCAAGTAGCAGTTGTTGCAGGATGATGATGGTAGAATGTTTACCCTTCTGTCCAGTGGCTGGTAAAAGAATTGAGTATTATAGACCAACTGCATACGGATCCCATACCCCTTTATAATTTATAAGTGCTATCAAAAGCATGACTTTTGAGCAATGAATTTCTACTTTACACACGATTTTATATTTTTTACAACAGTTCAACAATGTATGTCGTAGTGTATCGTTGCAAAAAATTTGACCTAAATACAGAATAATTTTCTCAGCATACAACAGCTAGTAAATGTTGTATCTGGTTACTTAGAGCACAAACTTTTTTAATACGTCATTCTGATCGACTAAGCCCATTTTTTTCATCTTTATCACGTGATCCTCAGAATACTTCTCAATTACTTCATAATCTGGACTCCTGGATTGGGAAGTTGGCATGACCATCGCTTGTCCTCGAGCAGGAGAAATAGCTCTTTCAGCACTGATGTTAGTTATTCCCCCTAGAGGTTGTAATGACAAAAAAAAAAAAAAAAAAAAAGGGGGATCCAGGGGGAACGGACTAGTCAAGATGGGCAACAGGCCAGAGTAGTTAAAGCACAGTAGTGCCAATAAAGCACACAGCTGGGTAAAGTCAAGAATGTCAAAGGCAAAAAAGCTTTATCTCAGCTTCGGAGTTACTGAGGGAGAGACTGATGCCTTACTCAGAACATCTATGCTTCCCTTGAAGAACTATCTGCCTTAGAATACCCTGTGTATTTTATTCTTCTTCTATGCCCATCTTCAGTGGCTTTCTTAACCTACAAGCAGTCTCCAAGCTTGACAGACTGGAAACCAAGCCAACGTGCAGTAGGGTGAGGCTGTCTGCACTTGAGGGCTCAGGTGTGCCTGCAGGAAGTCTTTGAGGTGAGAAAAATTGTTAAGAGATTACTACATTATATATTTGAAGAATCCAGGAAGTGTAAATAAAGGTCAAAAAGTAGGAATGACTTCTACCCATGTGAAATCACTGCTCTAGAATAGGTCAGAGATATAGATTTACCTTCCTCCAAAGGCGTCAGACTAATCTCTTCAAAAGTTGCTCAGAAGAGCTCTGGGAAGGGATTACCATTGCAAACTCACTTCTAGGCATATGTAACACCTATAGTGGAAACCTATGTATTGAAATCCCTGTTTTCTCTAAATATTACTCCCCGATATTAACTAAAAACTGTAATGTTAAAACTGATGAAGTTGATGATCATAAAGTTGATGATGATTTGAGTGCCTCCTGTATCTTGCTGTTACATATAGCATACACACTTAACAATATTAAGAGGGAAAAAAGGAATCTTAATTTTAGCCCTCTGTCCACTAGTTTGTATAAGATAATTCTTAAGAGAAGCCATGAGAGGTAATATCTTCACATGTGATAACTTGGGCACTCCAGACAGCCCCTGCTTTTGCATCACTGCTGTGTTTGGCTGATATGCCTAAGAGCATGGCTACTTCAGCATCTTAATTAACAATTTGCTTCCATTAAGTCCAAAGTATCTCCTAAATCTTAGATATTGTTCCAGGCGCTTTACATACGTTTGCTAGAATCTCTTAAGTATTATATAAAGTAATACAATTGCCAGTTTGTTTATACTCAAAGGGGTTTAGTAACCTGTCCAAATAGGTAGTAAATAACAGTTGTCATCTGACTTTCTCTGAATCTAGAGATGTAGCTACTGAGAGTTGAGTGCCTGTGTCTACACAGAGAAGTCAGATTATGACTACCCTAAGCCAGGCACTTTCATAAAAATAAATGGGGAAGAGTTATTTAAGAGGGAAGACCTGGCATGCCTAGGCAAGATAGAGACGCTGAAGACCACTGAAAGATTTGATGGTGGGTATCAAGAAAGAAAAAATAATTACGTGAGAGTGCCAAAGTGATGACATAGTTAGCATTCAATGATGAAGCAGACCAGAAGTTTATAACATATAAATCTGGGAAAGTGAAGGAGGTGTATAAAGACTGTTATTTTCTATAACTAGTATAGTATATAAATCACTAAATGTAGGATGAGAATATGTAAAATAACTCTCCTCTGTTCTTCATTTTGTATCTGCTCATCAAAAGTATACCAGATTGCACAATACTTGTCATCTCTGTAGAATGATACAGAATTAGTTATTTTATAATTAATTATGTCTATTAGGGGAAACAATGAAGTGTGATTGTATTTGTGGAGAAGGGTAGTTTGGAAAATGGATCATGTAAATTTTGGAAAAACTTTGAAATCAAATACGCTAGATAAACATTTTCTTGATGTTTTGTGCCCAGAGTAACTGGAATGGGGTGGCCATTATGAAGCTAAGTAGCAGGTCTCTAGGGCTTTGGCTGTAATGCCTATCTTCTCCAGTTCATGGTGATATCTGCCTATTTCCTACAGCTCATCTGATGTATTGTGGTAACTGAGCCCTGAGCACATAAATCTTTTATTCTCTTTCTATAACTTGGCATTGTGTTCTTTCTTTGTTTTTATAGAAAAACTTATCACTATCTCTTCCACACACCTCAAATTTATCATAACCAAACAGGAATTATCTGGCCCACTGGCTTCACCAAATTTCTAGGCAGGTCTTTGTTTGTTTTAATAAATGACAGGAAAAAGATTATCAAATAAATAAACCTATTCTGGATTTCTTTCTTTTTCTCACTCTTACCATATGATGATCCACATTACGGATGTTATTTTTTCTTCCCATGTAAATTTCATACCTATTCATTCCTCATAATACCCACTGTTAGATTTCACTTTCATCCACTTCTTTTAATGACTACAATAGTCTCCTAACAGGTTTACCTACCTTCTCTCTTGTCAGCCTTTAGACCACTGTTAACATTGATTGTATGTTGACATACATATATTATAAATCTGGTCAAGTTGTTTATTGTTACAATTAGGGCCTTGTGTCCTCTAAGATTATATCCGTGCTTCTCATATTTACACACAAGTTCCTTCAGAAATTCGGGTTCATTTCTTTTTAACCTTAGCTTCAAGAACCATATGAAGAGCCATCTATCCTATAGCTTTACTCAATTGTAGCTACTTACATTTGTAATACTCTCCAATGCCTTACTGTATTTACATGGATTTTAATCAGTACAGGATGTACATCACAGCCCTTTTATACCATCCCCCTAGTATTTGTCATTTGAGACCTAATTTAAGAATCTCCTTCAGTAAATCTTCCCTGACCTGCCTGGATGGGGTTAGTTGTCTCTTCTGTGTTTTAAATCATGTTTTTTTTTAAATATCAACTTCAAAATGTTTAACTTTTAATTTTAACTTTAGCTGTCTGTCCACTAGTTTGTACATATTTGATGGCATTTCTTATATATTTCTCTATTTTTTAACACTACCAGATTTCCTTTAATAAAATATGTTTTCATATTCAGTGGCGTGCACCTGTAGTTCTAGCTACTCAGAAGGCTGAGTTGGGAGGATTGCTTGAGAACAGGAGTTCGATGCTAGCCTGGGCAACATAGCAAGATCTCATCTCTAAAAAAATAATCTTGTAATCCAAGCACTTTGGAAGGCTGAGGTGGGGGGATCACGAAGCCAAGGGATTGAGACCATCCTGGCCAACATGGTGAAACATTGTCTCTACTAAAAATATAAAAATTAGCTAGGCATGGTGGCGCACGTCTATAGTCCCAGCTAGTCAGGAGGCTAAGGCAGGAGAATCACTTGAACCCCAGAGGTGGAGGTGACAGTGAGCCGAGATCACATCACTGCGCTCTAGCCTGGTGACAGAACGAGACTCCATCTAAAAAAACAAACAAACAAACAAACAAAAAACTCAATAAATGCAGTGAAGAAAACTAAATTAATCGGTAAAATAATAAATAACCGGTGGGGTAATTAAATATAATGAGCACAGACACGATCAAAATCATTAAACACAGAGCAGCATAAGTTAAAGTATTGTTTCTTGCTACAATTTTGACTTTTACCCTAATTTTCCATATTCTTGTTTCCTCACCTAGACTCTAGGTTCATCCATTAGCACAATGTCTGTCTTCAATACTTCTGCCTTATACCCTCGCTTCCTCCTAACGGGCCTCTCAGGCCTTGAAAGCAGATATGACTTGATTTCCCTGCCCATCTTCTTGGTTTATGCCACCTCAATTGCCGGGAACATTAGCATCCTCTTCATTATCAGAACTGAGTCTTCCCTCCACCAACCGATGTATTACTTTCTGTCAATGCTGGCATTCACTGACCTGGGCCTATCTAACACTACCTTACCTACCATGTTCAGTGTCTTCTGGTTCCATGCCCGGGAGATCTCCTTCAATGCTTGTCTGGTCCAAATGTACTTCATTCATGTTTTCTCGATTATTGAGTCAGCTGTACTCCTGGCTATGGCCTTTGACTGCTTTATAGCAATCTGAGAACCCTTGCGCTATGCAGCCATCCTAACCAATGATGTAATCATTGGGATTGGGTTGGCAATTGCTGGAAGGGCCTTGGCTCTGGTCTTTCCAGCTTCTTTCCTCTTGAAGAGGCTTCAATATCATGATGTCAATATTCTGTCCTACCCCTTCTGCCTGCACCAGGACCTCATAAAGACGACTGTATCCAACTGTCGAGTCAGCAGCATCTATGGCCTCATGGTGGTCATCTGTTCCATGGGACTTGATTCAGTGCTTCTCCTCCTCTCCTATGTCCTCATCCTGGGCACAGTGTTGAGTATAGCCTCCAAGGCAGAGAGAGTGAGAGCCCTCAATACTTGCATCTCCCACATCTGTGCTGTACTCACCTTCTATACACCAATGATTGGGCTATCTATGATCCATCGCTATGGACAGAATGCTTCCTCAATTGTCCATGTGCTGATGGCCAATGTCTACTTGCTGGTTCCACCTCTCATGAACCCCGTTGTCTACAGTGTTAAGACCAAGCAGATTCGTGACAGAATCTTCAATAAATTCAAGAAACATGAAGTGTAGATGACAGAGATTCTGAAACATAACTTTCCCTCCATTCCCCATATATTTGTGAGAAGATTTCATATAATGTTGAATTTTAAATTCACATGTTACCAATGATATTTTGACTTTAAGATACTAGACCTAAACCTAAATAATTATAAATCTGTATATTTTCCAATATAGAGAATAAAAGTGTGGTTCTATTTTACGGTGAAGTTATTCATTGTACACTGTGAAGGTCCTCAATATATCTGAGAAAGATTTAGATTTCAAAAGTTTTCCTATGCCTTTTAACCTAATATAAAAAAATTTAAATGCAAGTTGTGATCCTCTGTTCAGGGAAAAAAAATATTTCCAGCAGGAGAACCTCATACCAAAAAGAGATGATGAACGAATAAAACTTAGCAGACTTTTAGAAGTGTAGAATAAAGAAACGTTGGACCAAATTAATTGGACCGATTGGAATAAAGCAGAAACAGTGATGATTTTGTATGTAGGAATCTACAGAGGGCTTTCTATGAGGAGTAGAGAACCTATGAGATCTAGACTGCTGTCTATTTTTTCTACCTGGGTTTTCAGTACATTTCTCAATTATTTATGACAGTCTCAAGTCATTCTACACCTTAAAATGTGTTCCTTATAAGCTGAGCAAGAAGGAATACAGTTTATTTCCCATGTTCCTGTACACACACTGTCCTGATCATCCTTTTCTGTGTTCCCAATGGCATTCTGCACTGAAATGCTTAACATGTTTTTTAGAGATTATAGTCTTCATCTTTAATTATAAGATTCATATAGATACAGATTTTAATTACTAGAAAATTCTGAGATGTTATGCTAAGAAGGCTTTGTTTTCAATTAAAATGATCAGCTGAAATATCCGTTTTTAATTTATATAGCACAAGAAAGTATCCTCAAAGAATTGTATATACTCTTTAGTTCAACTTCATCACCTCCCTCTCAAACCTGAATCTGCTGTGGTCTGATTTTCATCTTCATGATTCCACTGATTTGCAGTTTATGATGTTTCTAGTGCTCTACTTTTTACTAAATTCAACATTCACATCTTGATTAAGCTTCCATTTTCCTTTGCATTATTAACCATGCTTTTCTTTTAAAGTAACCTTATTTTCAGTTGTTTTACATTTACAGAAAAAGTTAAATATGGTACAGAGTTCTCAAATATCCTGCACTCAATTTCCCCTATTGTTACCATCTTACATCAGTAGAATACACTTTTGACAATTGGTGAATCAACAATGGTAATGTATTAACCACAGTTGCATATTATTCAGAACTTTTTTAGTTTTTCTCCTAGTATTCTTCTTGTACTCCAAGATCCAATCCAGGATATAACATTGCATTAGCCATCATGTCTATTTAGACTACTCTTAATTGTAAAAGTTTCTCAGTCTTCTTTCATTGTCTTCAATTACTTTGGCATTTTTGAGGACTACTAACAGGCAGTTTGTAAAGTGTTCCTCTATCAGGATTTTTCTGATGCTTTTCTCATTATTAGAGTAGGTTATAAGACCATAGAGGAATAATACCATTTTATTGCATCATATCAATAATACATATTAGCAACATGACATCACTGTTGATGATGACTTTATTCATGACTAGGGTAGTATTTGTCATGTTTCTCCACTGTCAACTTAATCTTTTTTCTTTTTAAAAGTCCCTCTTTTCATACTGTACTTTTTTAAAGGAAGTCACTTTGCAAAGCCTACACTGAAAGAGTGGGAAACCATGAGGACAGATATCTACTTGAAATTATTGTGTGAGATTTTTCCCTTTCTTCTAATTTACTCGATCCTTTATTTATATTAATAATGACTTCTGGATATTTATTTTATACCTTGGATTGTAATCCAAACCTGAACTCATCTATTTTGGTAATTTTTGTTTTTTAATTACTAATTCAATATCTTTATTTGTACAGGTCCATTCAGATTTTCTACTTACTGAAGTCAGGTTCAGTAGCTAGCATCTTTCTAGGAATTTCTTCATCTTATCTAAGTATTATATGATTTTTATAGTATTCCTTTGGATTTTTAATTTCTATAATGTTTGTAATAATGCCTTCCCTTAATTAATTTTTCTAGTAATTTAATTTTCCCTTTTTTTCCGAGTCAATGTAAAACCAAAAGTTTTGATTTTATTAATTTTGTTTTTGCTTTTCTATCCTCTATTTTATTAATTCCTGGTCTAATCTTTAAAGTTCACTTCCTTCCATGTGTGTAGTTTGCTCTTCTTTTGTGAGTGTTAAGTTGGAAGTTTAGGATATTGATTCGATATCTTTATTCTTCCTTAACACAAGCATTTGCAATGATAAATTTCACTGTAAAAACTGCTTTGGAGGCATACTATGAATTTTGACATGTTTTGCCACTATTTTTATTAAAACAAAAGTTTGAATTATGAAAGTGTCAAAGTATTATTTCCTCACAGTTTGGTTGACTCATTGATTACTGTGGTGGTGTGGTGCTTACTTTTGACATATTTGTGAGTTTCTGAAATTGATTTTTGCTACTGATTTTTAATCTTATCCCATTGTGGTCAAAGAATATACTTTATTCTTATTTATTAATTATTTATGTCATTTTATATATATTGCAATTTTATTATGGTGTAGCATACGGTCTATCCTGGAGAATGTTCCCTGTGCACTTACAGAAAATGTATATTCTATTGTTGAATGAAGTGCTATATAGCGTTGTTCATGTTTCTACTTCTTTGTTGATATTCTGTCTAGTTATTCTATCTATTTTTGTCTATTATTGAAATCTATTTTTATCCAGTAAAGTCTTTGGCCTGGGCATGGTGGCTCATGCCTGTAATCCCAACATTTTGGGAGGCCAAAGTGGGAGGATATCATAAGGCTAGGAGTTCAAGACCAGCTGGGCAACATAGCAAGACCCTGCCTCCACAAAAAATAAAGAAAAAAAATTATAAAAATTGCTTGGCGTGGTAGCAGATGCCTATAGTCCCAGCTGCTCAGGAGGTTAAGGCAAGAAAATTCCTTGAGCCTGGGAGTTTGAGGCTGCAGCGAACTACAGTTGCACCACTGCACTCCAGCCTGGGTGAAAGAGTGATACCCTGCCTCTCAATAAATAAATACGTAAATAAATAAATAAAATTTTTAAAAAGTCGACTATTATTTTTGAATTATTTCTTCCTTCATTTATGTCCATTTTTGTTTCATATGTTTTGCTGCTCTGCTAATACCTGCATATATGTTTATAATTGTTATACTGTCCTGTACTTTCCCGATGAGTTGACATTTATATCACTGGAAAATGACCCGCTTTATCTCCAGTATCACTTATGTTTGTTTTAAACTCTATTTTGTCTGATATTAGAATAGCCAGTCCAGCTTTCTTGTGTTTGCTATTTGCATGATATATACTTTTTCATTCTTTTGCTTTCAATCAGCTTGTATCTTTAATTCTAAAGCTGTATCTTGTAGAAAGTGTGGAGTTGGATAATTTTTTTCAGCTGTATATAATTGACAAGCATTATGCATACACCAGGCGTACAATGTGATGATTTAGTAGATGCATATATGTTGTAATTATTACTACAATCAAATTGACTAACACAACCACCACCACACATTTGTGTGTGTGTGTGTGTGTGTGTGTGTGTGTGTGTGTGTTGAGGACACAAGATCTACTCTGTTAGCAAGTTTTAAGTAGATAATAATGTATTATTAACCATAGCTACCATGATATACACTAGATCCTCAAAACTTTTTAAACTTAATAACCGAAAATTTCTACCTTTTGACCAACACCTCCTCATTTCCCCCACCCCTTAAGTCCCTGGGAACCACTGTTCTGCTCTCCAGTTCTGTGAGTTTGAATTTTTTGCATTTCATATATAAGTGAGACCTTATTGTATTTGTCTTTATATGTCTGGCTTGTTTCACTTAGCAAAATGTCCTCCAGGTTCATTTATGTTGTCACAAGGATTCCCCCCTTTATTATGGCAGAATAGTATCCCATTGTGTATATATATGACTTTTTAAAAACCATTCTTCTGTATATGAACATTTGTGTTGTTTTCATATATTGGCTATTGTAAGTAATTCTGCAATGAACATATGGGGTGCAAATATCTTTTTGAAATACTGATTTTATTTCCTGTGGATGTATACCTAGAAGTGGAATTACTGGATTGTATGGTAGTTTCATTTTTCAGTTTTTCTAATATCTTCACACTGTTTTCCCGAATGACTCTACCAATTTGTATTCCTATCAACAGTGTAAAGGGTTCCTTTTTTTCCAAACTTTTGCCAACTCTTCTTATGTCTTGTCATTTTGATAATGGCCATCCTAATAGATATGAGGCAATATTTTGCTGTGGTTTTGATTTACACTTCTCTGATAATTAATAATATTGAAAACCTTTTCTTATGCCTGTTGGTCATTTATTTCTCTTCTTTGGACAAAAAATGACTATCTGATACCACTCTCTCCTGGCCTGCAAGCTTTCTGCTGAGAATTTTGCTGATAACCTCGTAGACATTTCTTTGTAAGTGGCAAGTCTCTTTTCGTGTGCTGCTTTCAAGATTCTCTCTTTTTATTTGGCCTTTGACAGTTTGATTATCATATTTTGGGGTGTTCTTCTTTTGTTAGATTTTATGAGAGGTCATCTGAGCTTTGCTAATTTGGATGCCTGTGTCTCTCCCAACATCTGGAACATTTTCAGACACTATTTACCAATGCTTTTTTGTCCCTTTCTTTCTCTCTTCTCATTCTGGGAATCTCATAATTCGTATGTTTGTTTGCTTGGTGGTTCCCATAGGTTCTTTATGCTTTCTTAACAGTTTTTTAAAATCATTATTTCTTTTTGTTCCTTTAATTTATTAATGTTATATGACTTTCTTCATGGTCAATAATTTTTTTCTTGGTATTATTGAGTTGGCTGTTGAAGATATCTATTGTATTTTTCAGTTCTTTTATTGTATTCTTTGACTCTAGGTTTTCTGTTTAGTTCTTTTTTATGGTTTCTATTTCTTTATTAAACTTCTTGTTTGTTGCTGTATTGTTTCTTCGTTGTGTTTAGTTGTTTATCTGTGTTCTCTTGCATTTCATCAACCCTCTTTAAGCTGATTATTTTGAGTTATTTGTCAGGTAATTTGTCAATCGCCATTGCTTTGGGGTCAATAACTGAAGTTTTAGTAGTTTTCTTTGGTGGTGTTATGCTTGCTTAATTCTTTGTTGTGCAGGTAGCCTTGCATTGGTGTCTGCACATTTGAAGGAGAAAACATCTCTTCTAGACTTTGTTGACTGATTTTGAAAGTAAAGACCTTCTTTTGTTGGTTGTCCAGGCTGATGAAGTTGCCTGTAAGATCTGAGTTGAGTTAGTGTGGAATTGAGTTATGTTGCTGCTGCTGAGTCTACAGTGCAATCTGTGATTAGTGGGTGTATTATGAGGGGCTAAAGCGAGTGTGGCCTCTGTCTTGTTTTTGGATGGACTAGATAATACCAGGAAATTGGTCAGTAGAGCTGGCACTGAAATAAGGTTTGTTTCAAGGTCCACAGCTAGCTCTTCAGGTGGCAGGTATGTTACCAGGTGTGCAGTCAAGTCTGGCTTCCTCTAGGTCCCTGGGAGGGCTCCCTCTATGTCATTGGCTATGCACATGGCTTGGCTGGAATGGCCCTCAACTGTCACTGAGAGGGATTGAAACTAAATCACAAGGCTGCTTCAAGGTCCACAGCCAAGGCCAAGGTCAGCAGGCCTGCCTCCAGAGGCACAGATGGTCATGCCTCCCTCAATGTTCCTGGGCAGACAGGATTATCCCTAGAATGTGTCTCAGTGGGGCAGAAGCTGGATCACAGGAGGGCTTCAAGATCTGTGGTCAGAATGTTATTATTTAGGCCTGCCTCAAGACGCATGAATGGACTTCTCTCCCTACAGGTCCCTGTGCAGGAATGACTACTCTCAGACCATAGATGACAAAGACTGGAGATGAGTTACATGGTTACTTCAAAGCTGAAAACAAGGCCTTTTACCCAAGGCATGGACGGACATGACTTCTTCCAGTCCCTTGGCGGATAGTTATATTTGAAGGACTGAGGGCAAACTCAGGTTGTAGCTGAGTCTATAGTGGGATGAATCATTTCCAGGCCTCTGTCCAGGACTCTGTTCAGCAAGACTGTCACCTAAATGCAGGCCTGTCAGCTCAAAATAGCTCTCCTCAATTTAGGGCTCCAATAGAGTTTTGCAACCTCCTACCTTAATCCAAAAGCTTTTACAAAGGAGCTTTTGTATATACAAATTGCTTCCAAATTCTTGTTGCTATGTGGCATATAAGTAGGATATCTCCTTTTCTGCCATTTTGCTTGCAATCGTACTTAATTTTCAAGTCTGACAAACTCAGTTTTTTGAATTGTGAATCCATTTGTATTTAGTGTTATTGATATAGTTGGATTTACATCTGCAATTTTACTTTTTGCTCTTTATATGTCTCATTTTTGTATGTTTCTCTATTCCTTCTCTTCTGCTTTCTTTTGTTCTAAAATAATACTGTCTTAAGATTTAATTTATTTAACTATTTTTGTTATATATTACTGATGTTTTCCTTAATGGTTGTCCATAGCTTACATCTCCTCTGAAAAGAATCAGTTTTAGATTTATACCAGCTTAATTCTAGTGATACACCTGTACTTTAGAGATACTTCATTTGGTTCAAGATCACCAAAATGAAGTGAATACTGCAATTAAGAAAGTCATAAAAAATCTTTTGGTTTCCTATATATATAAAAGTTATGCATACACTATTTTATAGTCTCTTAATGGTGAAATGGTACTATGTCTAAAAAAAATCTACAATTTAGAAAAATAATGTATTACTAAAAATACTAGCAAATATCTGAGTCTTCAGAAATAATAACATTTTTGCTGGTAGAAGGTCCTACCCTGATGTTGATGGCTGAACAGGATGGTGGTTGCTGAAGGCTAGGGTGGTGGTGGCAACTTCTGAAAATAAGACAATAAAATTTGCCACATCAATCGACTGTTCCTTTCATGAAAGTTTTCTCTGTAGCATGTAATGCTGTTTTACAGCATTTTACCTAGAGTAGAAATTTCAAAACTGGAGTCAGCCTGCTAAAACATAGCTGCTGCTTTATTAAGTTTATAAAATTCTAAATCCTTTGTTGTTACTTAGAAAAATGTTCAAAGTATCTTTACCAGGCATAGATTCCATTTCTAGAAACCACTTTCTTTGCTGACCTATAAAAACAACTCCTTGTCTCTTAAATCTTTATCACAATATTGCAGCAACTCAGTCACATCTTTAGGTTCCCTGTTCTTGTTATTTTTAGGTCTCTTGTTATCTCCATCACATCTGCAGTTACTTTCTCCAATGAAGCCTTGAGTCCCTAAAAGTTATCCATGAGGGTGGAAATCAACTTCTTCCAAACTCCTGATAATGTTGATATTTTGACCTTGTCCCATAAATCACAAATGTTCTTAATGGCATCTACAATGATGAATCCTTTCCAGAAGATTTTCAATTTACTTTCCCCAGATCCATCAGAGGAATCACTGTCTATGGTAGCTATGACTTTACAAAATGTGTTTCTTATATATTATGACTTGAAAGGGGGTTGGTCAAGACGGCCAGCTAGGAACAGTTAGTGAGCACTGCTTTCACATAGAGAAATGGAAGGGGTGAGTAAATACAGCACCTTCAACTGAAACATCCAGGTACACACATTGGGACTCATCAAGGAGACAACTAGCCCCATGGAGAATGGAGAAAAGCAAGTCAGAACAACTGCTCACTCAATAGCAACATGGAGCCAGGGGAACCTCCTGGCTATGTGGTGGGAAGTGGTAAGTGAGTGAGTAACCCCAGGGACTCACGCTTCTTCCACCAGTCTTTGCAACTCTCTGGTCAGGAGATCCCCTTATGAACCCACCCCACCAGGACCTGCGGTCTGACACACAGAGCTATATGGAGTCTCAGCAGACCAGCTGCTCTGGCACATGTGGAGCCCTGGGAGCCTTAGATACCCAGGCTTTCCTGAAAAATCAGCTACTATTCTGGCAAACCAGGAGGTTAGAAGCCCGTGCATACCCCTAGGAAAGAGGCTGGAATCCAGGGGGCTGAGCAGCAATGGGCTGTGGGCCCCACTTAAAAAACACCTTGCAGGATAAGACCCACTGGCTTGGGAATCCAGCCAGTCACTTGTAGCAGCAGTTACCCACCCCTGAGATGGAGCTCTAACAGGGAGGGGTGGCCTGCCATCTTTGCTGTTTCACAGCCTTAGCCATCCTTGCCTTTGGGGTCTAGGGAGTCTGAGGGGACTAAGGGCTGAAGCAGTGCCCTGGCAGAGCCAGCAGCTCTACGGAGAAGTGGTCAGACTGCTTATTCATGTAGATCCTGGATCCTATTTCTCTTCACTGGATGGAATCTTCTGACTGGGGTATCCAGTCAACCCTACAGTTGTTTTCCAGATGACAGAAGTTTCAAATCTCCCTAGGATGGAGCTTCTAGAAGTGGGGGGTGGGCTGCCATCTTTACTGTTTGGCAGTCTTAGCCATTCTTGCCTTTGGGCCTTGGGCAGTACAAGGCGTCTGGGGGCTGGAGCAAACCACCAGCACAGCGCAGCTGCTCAAAAAAGCAGCCAGGCTGTTATTTTACACAGGGTCCCGATCCCGTTCCTTCTCAATGGGTGGGATCTCCAGACCCGGGTGTCCGGCCACATCCTGCAAGTGTGTTTGGACTTGCAACATGTCCATACCTCCCTAGAGTGGAGGTCCTAGAGGGAGGAGAAGCCACCATGTTTGCTGTTTTGCAGCCTTTACTGTTGATACCTTCAGGTACTAGAAAACCCAGAGTTACTAGGGACAGGAGCAGATCCCCAGCAAACCACAGCAGCCCTACAGAAAAGTGGCCAGACTGCTTATTACATGGGTCCCCAATCCCATATCTCCACACTGGGTGGAACCTCCAGGCCTGGTTCTCCAGCCACCCTATGCTAGTGCTGTCAAGCCAGTAGCATCTCTGCAACTCCCTGGGACAGAGCTTCCAGTGGGAGGTTGCCATCTTTGTTGTCTTGCATCTTGTACCCTTGCTGTATCCAGGCTATGGAGAATCCATGGGGACTAGGGGCTGGTCCAGACCCCCAGCATAAGCCAACCACCTCAAAGAAAAATGGCCAAACTTTTCTCTACGCAGGTGTTAGTTCTCACCTATCCTCACTGGGCAAGGCTTCCTGACCTGGGACTCCAGAATAAGAACGCTGCTCTGACCTGATTACCTCAATCAGTGGCAGACTGGAATTTCTGAGGAGGAAATCCCAGAATCACCCCACAATCCCTCCGCTACTACGGTTGCAGTGATACCCCACTAACAGCCCTTGGGCTGGGGAAGGAACAAAGGGCCTAGTCACTATGCTGGCACTGCTAGTACACTGTATGGAGAGGAGTCCAGTCTTTTTTGTTTCTGGCAACACCCACTCCCCACTCTTCACCTGGCAGAGCCCCCAGCTCATGACTGCAAAACAGTTGTCCCCACCCGCAGCTGAGAATACCCACTGGTAGGCTTGGAGTTTACCTGGAGAGAGGCTCACAGAGGCATCTAACAGTCCCTCTGCCACTGCCACAACAGTGATTCTATCCCTTCTTCCCTGTTTCTTGCGAGGAGACAAAGAGTCTTGGGGCTATACCTGAACTTACAGCACACCACAGTCACCATACAGAGACACCAGTCTCTCCTCCCAGTGACCCCCAATACCCTGCTTCCCAACAAGTGGAGCCTGAAGCTTATGCCAGCAGTGCAGCTACCCCACCCCACCAGCTGAACACTCCCAGTAACAGCAGCTCTGCATTTCTTGGAGGTGGAGCTCCCTGGGGCAACCGTAAGCCTCTCTGCCAGTCTCCGCAGTAATAGTACCCCTGCTACCCTCAGACTAATGAAGGTGCAAAGACGCTTAGTGCCTTATCCACAACTCCAGCAATCTGCAGTTGACCCAAGGAGAAAAAGCCAGTCCATCTCCCATGAACCCCAACCACCTCCCTGCTCATCACTAGGCAGGGAGTCCCTGGCTTGGGCCCACAGCACAGACCACCCATCCCAGGCTGATTGCACTGAGCAATTGCTGACCTGCTTCTCTCTGGGATGGAGCCTCCAGGAGACAGGCAAAAGACCCTCAGCCACAACCACTACTAAGGTCCTTGCCCCTGATGCCTCCAAGTTGGGAGGAAACATAAACCCTGAGATCACCCAAGAGCAGCAGGGGGCAGCCTCAGAGTGCCAAGCTGCGATTTACAGCCAGCACTCAAGTGGAAGAGGAGCCCACACTTTCAGAGCATTGAGAAGGAGCACAGCTGCAGCTGTGAGGAAACATAGGAGAGCCACACAGATGAGCAAGAATCTACCAACTGACCATTACACTTAAGAATCACCTACTGGAATCACAACACAAAGCTTAAACACCAAAATAGCTCACTAACATACCCCCCTGTAAAACCAAAGACAGGAAGTATGCTACAAATGAAGACTCTGCACAAAGCCTCAACCCTCTGGAAACATCGAGAAAATAATTATACTGACTGTACTCAACCTATATTGCAGTTAAAGGGACACCTACACACAGAGATGGGAAAGAATCAATGTAAGAACTCTAGCTACTCAAATGGCCAGTGTCTTATATCCTCTAAGCAATCACACATGTTCTCCAACTAGGGTCCTTCACCAGGCCAAGTTGGCTAAAATGACATAAATGGAATTTTGAATGTCGATAGGAATTAAGATCATCAACATTCAGGAGAAAGGCAAAACCCAATCCAAGGAAAATAAGAATTACAAGAAAAGAATACAGGAGCTGACAGATTAAATATCCAGTTTTTTTTAAAAAAAAACTAAATCATCTGTTAGAGTAGAGAAACACATTGCAAGAATTTCATAATGCAAATGCAAGTATTATGAACATAATAGACCAAGTTGAGGAAAGAATCACAGAACTTGAACACTGGCTTTCTGAAATAAGGAAGTTAGAGAAAAAAAAAGAAAGAATGAAAAGAAATGAACAAAGTCTCTGAGACTCTGAGAAATATGGCACTATGTAAAGAGGCCAAATGTACAAATCACTGGCATTCCTGAAAGGGATATCTAGGAAGCAAAAACCTGGAAAATATATTTCAGGTTATCATCCATGAAAACTTCTGTGACCTCACTAGAGAGGTGAACAGTCAAATTCAGGAAATACAGAGCATCCTTGCAAGATTCTACACAAGATTATCCCTAAGAAACATAATCATCATATTTTCCAAGATTGAAATGAAAGAAAGAATGTTAAAGGCAGCTAGAGAGAAAGGGCAGGTAACCTACAAATGAACCCCTATTATGCCAACAGTGAACCACTCAGCAGAAACCCTACAAGCCAGAAGAGATTGGGGGCCTATATTCAACATTTTTAAAGAAAAACATCTTCAACCAATAATTTCATTTCCAGACAAACTCATCTTCCTGGCAAAGGAGAAATAAAATCATTTTCAGATAAGCAAATGTGGAGAGAGTTTGTTATTAACAGACCCACCTTACAAGAGATCTTAAAAGCAGCACTAAATATAGAAAGCAAAGGCCATTATCAGATAATGCAAAAACACACTCAAGTACTCAGACCAGGGACACTATAAAGCAAACACATAAACAAGGCTGCATAATAACAAGCTAAGAACACAATGACTGGTAGAAATTCACACATATCAATACTAACCTTGAATGTAAGTGGGCTACGTGCTCCATTGAAAAGGAAGAGACTAGCAAGCTGTATTAAAAAAAAAAAAAAAAAAAGCAAGACCCAGTGGTATGCTGTCTTCAAGAGACCCATCTCCCAGGCAATGACACCCATAGGCTCAAAATAAAGGGATGGAGGAAAATCTACCAAGCAAATGGATATCAGAACAAAGCAAGAGTGGCCAACCTAATTTCAGTCAAAACACGCTTTAAACCAACAAAGATGTGAAAAAAAAAAAAAGACAAAGAAAGTCATTACATAATGATAAAGGGTTCAATTCAAAAAGAAGACTGAGCTATTCTTAATATACATGTACCCAACACAGGAGCACCAAAATTCATAAAGCAAGTTCTCAGAAAATTACAAAGAGACTTAGACTTTCATACAATAACAGTGGGAGACTGCATCACTCTACTGACATTATTAGACAGATCACTGATGCAAAAAATTAACAAAAATTTTTAAGACTTGAATGCAACATTGGACCAAATGGATCTGATAGGCCTCTATAGAACTCTCTACCCCAAAACAAAATAATATACCTTCTTCTTATTGCCACATAGCACATACTCTAAAATCAACTCCACAATTGGACATAAAAGAATTCTCAAAAAAAGTCAAAAGTACCAAAATCATACCAAACACCCTTTTGGACTACAGCGCAATAAAAACAGTAGTCAAGACTAAAAAAATTGCTCAAAACCATGCAATTACATGAAAATTAGACAATCTGATCCTGAATGATTTTTGGGTAAATAATGAAATTAAGACAGAACTCAAGAAGTTCTTTGAAACTAATGAAAACAAATATACAACATACCAGAATCTCTGGGGCATGGTTAAGACAGTGTTAAGGGGGAAATTTACGGCATTAAATGCCCACATCAAAAAGTTAAAAAGATCTCAGATGAATAACCTAACATCACAATTGAAAGAATTAAAGAACCATGAGCAAACCAACCCCAAAGCTAGCGGAAGACAAGAAATCATCAAAATCAGAGCTGAACTGAAGGAAATTGAGACACGATATACCATTCAAAAGATCAATGAATCCAGGATTTGTCTTTTTGTTTAATTAATAAAATAAGCCACTAGCTAGACTAATGAAGAAAAAGGGAAGACCCAAATAAACATAATAACAAAGGGGATGTTACCACTGACCGCACAGAAATAAAAATAAACATCAGAAGCTACTATGAACACCTCTGTGCACACAACTAGAAAACCTAGAAGAGAAGGATAAATTCCTAGATACCTATACCTTTCCAACACTGAGCCAGGAAGAATTGATTCCTTGAACAGACCAATAAAGAGCTTGAAAATTGAGTGGGTAAAAATGGCCTACCAACCCCTAAAAAACCCAGGACCAGATGGATTGACAGCAGAATTCTAAAATATGTACAAAAAAGAGGTGGTATCATTCCTATTGAAACTACTCCAAAGAGTTGAAGAAGAGGGACTGCTCCCCAACTCATTCTATGAGGCTAGGACTATCTTGATACCAAAAACTGGTGGAGGTCAGGCTCAGTGGCTCACACCTGTAATCCTAGCAATTTGGGAAGCCAAGGCAAGGGGATCACTTAATGTCAGGAGTTCAAGACCAGCCTGGCCAACATGATGAAACCCTGTCTCTATTAAAAATACAAAAATTAGCAGGGTATGGTGGTGCACACCTGTAGTCCCAGCTACTCTGGAGGCTGAGGTGGGAGAATCACTTGAACCCAAGAGGCAGAAGTTGCAGTGAGCCAAGGTGGCACTGCTGCACTCCAGCCTGGGCAACAGAGCAAGACTCTGTCTCAAAAAAAATACATAAAATAAATGAATAAATCATGATATTCTCTTTTATTTCTTTCAAAGCTGCCTTGAGTATTCTAGATCTTTGCATTCCACATCAAGTTATCAAATTCTGTAAGTTCAATCTATAAGTCAAATTCTGTCAGTTCTATAAGTCATATTCTATAGGTTCAATCAAGCTGTCAAATTCTATAAAGCTTACCAAGATTTTCATTAGAATTGTTTTGAACTGCTAAATTAATTTGGGAAGATTGACATCTTGACACAGTAATACAATCAATGGACATAGTATATCCATCTATTTATCCACATGTCTTTGGAATTCCCTGTAATGTTCCCATGTTTCCAGGGTCAATATATTGAAAGTATTTGGTTAGTTTTTACATATTTGATTTTTATGCTATATAAATTATATTTTATTTTAATTTATTTTTAACTCTCATTTTATACTTAGGAATACATGTACAGGTTTATTATATAGGTAAATTGTATGTCACAGGGCTGTGGTGTACAGATTATTTCACCATCCAAGTAATAACCATAGTACCCAATAGGTAGTTTTTCAGTCCTCACCCTCCTCCCTCACTCTACCTTTAAGTAAATTCCAGTGTCTCGTTAGCTTCTTTGTGTTCATATGCACTCAATGTTTAGCTCCAACTTTTAAGTGAGAACATTTGTTATTTGGTTTTCTGTTTCTGCGTTAGTTCACTTAGGATAATGGACTCCGTCTTCATCCATGTTGCTGGAAAGGACATAATCTCATTCTTTTTTATGACTGCATAGTATTCTATAGTATGTATGTAGCACATTTTCTTTATCCATCTACCATTTATGGGCATTTAGGTTGATTCCATTCTTTGCTATCGTGAATACTGCTGCGATGTACACATGTGCATGTGTCTTTATGGTAGAACAATTTATATTCATTTGGGTATATGTTGGGATTCACTCAGGATGGCGGCAGGAATATTGAAGGGAAATATTAGGGAATGTTATAAGGAATAGTCATGAACCTTTTTGGAAGGCCAAAAGGTTACATAGCTTGTAATAATTGAACAGGCTGAAGGCAGCCGGTTCTTACCTTAGAGCATTAGGTCATACGGTAAATGCTAGGGACAATAGAGGCTTCCCCAGTTAAGTCTGGTTACCCTACCTCCATTAACTAACCTTTGAGCCAGATGGCCCTCTGGGTGGGAGGTCAGCCAGGGAAACTGCCCCCCTGGTGGTATTTACTTCAGACCACCTTAGCTGAGCTTTAATCATTCCTAGAACTACTCTCTTAACCATGTTAATTATCCACAAGTGTGTTGACTCAGAGCTTCTGTTGTTAATTGTATACTAAATAAATGTCTGGAGTGCAAGCTTCTCAAGGCCAGCCGCAGTGACAAACCTCTCTTGGTGTGCAGGTGGTCGGACATTCAGCAGGACTGGCATAACAGATTATCTGTGTGTCAATGTACATTTTATTCATCCATCGTTTGGGTCAGGGTCTGCAGGCAGACCCCTGCAGCTAATGCCCTCTTGTGAGGAGCAATTCCTCAGATATATACCTAATAATGCAATTACTTGGTAAATTGTATTTTCAAATTAATTTCTACATTGTTTTTAAGAATATTAAAATTGAATGTGTTTTTGAATATTACTCAGAATTTTTTAAAAATACAAATATTTTGAATATCTTATATACACAATCATATAAGTAAATAGAGACTTTTACTTTATTCTTTCAAATTCTCATCTTTTTTTCTATAATTTTTCTTACTGTATTATACTCTTTTGGGCATATAGTGCAGTTCTGAATAGAAGTATTTATAAGACATCTTTGACTTTACCTGACCTTATAGGAGAAATATTGAATATGTTTTCATTAATATAATTTTAGCTGTATTATTTTTATGTGTATCTGTAAAATTAGGGTAGTTACATCTGTTTCTAGTTTACTCAGAAATCTTACAAAATAGTAGTGGTGGAGGGAATGGAAATGGTTAATGGGTACAATAATATAGTTAGAATGAATAAGATCTACTATTTCATAGCACAAGATGATTACAGTCAACAATTATTTATTATACACTTAAAAGTAAATAAAAGAATTGGAATGTTTGTAACACAAATAAATGATAATGCTTGAGGTGATGCATACTCCATTTACCACACTGTGATTATTATGCATTGTATGCCTGTATCCAAATATACATAAAAATATACACCTATGATGTACCAAAAATTAAAAGTAAAATGTTAGTATAAAAATTTTATTAAAAGGATAAAAATGTTTAAATTTTATATATTAAGGTGATCATCTTTTTCTATCTTTGGCAGTGTGAAGAAGTATATCTATAATTTTTTAAAACAAATTATGTACTAGAATAGCCTTCATTTGTTTGCAATGTGTTATTCTCTTGATACAACATTGTATTCTATTTGATAATTTTTAAGGGTATTTATATCTGTGCTTATAAAACACGTTAGTCTTTAATTACCTTTCCTCAGAATATAATTGACTGGTTCAGTTATCACTCATGAAACCAGTTGGGAAATACTCTATACTCTCAAAGACTTTGGACTCTACTGGTATTAGCTCCTTTGTAAATGTTGAGATAAAATCACAAATGAAACTCTTTCAGATTGAAGACTTTTTGAGTGACTTTTTAAAAATTATGGATTAAATATTTAGAGGAACAATGATCCAATTTTGTCTTTCTTGTTTAAATTCTGAGGGTATATTTAGAAACAACATGTCATTTAAACTATGATATCTAGTGTAATGCAAAAATATTCTGCATTGTATTCACTGCATGATTTAAATATGTTTAAATGTGTGTGAGATCTGTAGTAATGGCTCCCACTTCCATTAACAGTATGAACTGTGTTTTCTCTGTTTTCTCATGATCATTTCTGTTAAAAATTTTATGTATTTATTAAACTATTTAAAGAACAAACTTTCCACATTGTTGATTTTCTCCATTTTATTTGACTTTTATTGATTTTAAAGAAAATGTGGTATATGCATAGAATATTATTTAAACTTAAAAATGGAAATTCTGCTATTTGCAATAACATGAGGGTATTACACTAAGTGAAATAATCCATTTATAGAAGGACAAATGTGGCATGATTCTACTTTAAATGAAGTTTTTATACTAGTGAAACTCAGAAGTGAATAAGACAATAATGGTTTCCAGAAGTTAAGGGGCTGGAGAAAATGGGAAGTTGTTGTTTAGTGAGTACAAAGTTGAAGTTATGATAGATGAATAATTTTAGTGCCTGTAGTAAACAATATAGTAGTGTGAAGTTCAAAATTTGTTGAGGGCAGACCACATGTTAAGTGTTCTCACCACAAAATAAAACAACAACAACAATTACCAAAAAAAAAAAAATAAATAAAAAAAAGAGATCCAAGTAAGGTTACTTTGTGAGGTAATGAGGGTTTAGGACTCTAACATATACATTTTCAGGGGCTACAATTCAACTGATAATAATGACTAGACCCAAAATATTAATCATGGTTGAGGGCAAAGCACTTTTTAGTCATATAAAGTTTTGAAACTATACTTCCCATTTATCATACTTTGGGAATTTACTTAAAGATTTGTTCCAGAAAAATTGCAAGGCTATCTGTAAAATAGGAAGATAGGAGGTTTGAGGAACAGGGGCTCCAAAACCAAAGAGAAATAAAAGATATTCTCAGCAAGACACCTAAGTGCAACCATTTCAGAGCAGAACTACAGAACTGGTGCCACTGTGAGGGATGTGTCCAAGAAAAAAAATTAAATCTGTGTCTGTTGGGATACTTTATATTACATATTTTTGAAAAGATAATATAGACCTTCAAAGGAAATTTATTGGCTCTCACAGCATTAAAGATGCTGGTTCGATTTTATATAAGAGTTGTTTGTATAACTAAACCATGTAATGAGGGTCAATTTTGTTTTAATATTTGGTGTTAAAATTCTGTATCTCATCTTGCTCTTAAGGTTAGTTCCCCACTTGTATCCAACATATTTTAGCAGCTCTCAACTTCAGATGCTTCCTCATTCACTCAGAGAAAACAAATGCACCTCTGAGTAAATGTCTTAAGATTAATTTTGATTAGATGTGAAGACCTGATTGGACCTTAGAGAATATATCATTGTATATATACAGGAATGCAAAAATTGTAAATTTGGAGGAGATAACATTAACGAAATGTTGGTATGGAATAATGGATAAGACAGACTAGGCCAGATAAAGAATATTACTGCACATGCTTTTAATTTCATGCTTTATTTGCTTAAGTAGTTCTGTCTTAAGGAGGTTCTCAGAAACCTCCACTGTGTAATAAAGAGATATAATTTTTCACTCCAGATAACCACATTCTAATAAGAACTACACACACAAACACACACACACATATATATATATATTTGAGTCTAAGATTAGAGAGAACATGTTTCACATCATTAGAGTTAAGAAGAAAAATGGCTACATAATTGGTAGTATAAATTTCCTCAATTTGTTTTGCAATAATCACTTATATGAAGTTTTCAAGAGCTAAAATATAACTAAATTTTATTTAGTTATATTTTATTTAAGAGCTAAAATATTTAGAGCTAAAATATAAATTAATAAAATAATAGTTTAAAAAATGACTATAACTGGTGATTTACTGTGTACAAGACAAAGTTCTAAATGCCTCAGAAAAATTTGTATCTCAAATCTACCCAACGAAGGAAATACTATTATTATTCCCATTTATAGATAAGGAAATTGAGATGTAGAAATGATACACAAGTCATTCAAAATTTTACTGCTAGTTTGTGACAAAGTCAGTATTTGTACACCAGCAGTCAGACTCCAGGATTGAAATTTTAGGTATTTATTAGTAGGAGTTTTAAAAGTTGTATATGTAAAATTTTGGTGGTTTTGGTTTTGAGAATTCATGTATAGAAAACACAATGGACAAAAAGATCATGACTTTGTGTTTTTATGCTAATTAGAGAAATTCAAGTCAGTTATATTTGGTCTGAAAAAACTATCAGTGAAGAGAAATAGTTTAAGTCAGAAAGCCTACTATGGTAGTTAAAATGTTGGACATGAATTTAGCCAGTTTATTCTGTATGAAAAAGGCCTACAGAATTGGGCCACACATTCACAATTAGGTAGAGATACAATTATCTGTTTTTACATATATCAAGGATAAATGACAGTGAGAGTGTGCTTTAGTCCCACTTCTTGAAATTGTATTACCTACACTTTAGCTTGCTTCTACCTTCCTTGAGCTTTTCTGTGTTTCTAGAGCAGCACCCAGGAGTTGGTGAGCAGTCTCTGAGGACTCATTTGCAGAGCTCTGTATAAAGTAGAGACTAAAATTAGATGTATTCTTATAATATCCCTGAGGTTCTAGAAACCTAATATTAGCACACCTTCCAAGTGCTACTCAGAAAAGGGACTAAGTACTGTGCTGCCCAATGTTATGTGTAGGTGTTGATTCCTATGGAAGAATGAGGTGAATCAGCCGCTGATTTCTGGTGAGCAGGTGTGGCAGTGCATGGAGAGATATATGAGCAGTGCACACTGAGAACTGGGCCATGTGGCTGACCTGCACCAGGCAGCGAAAAAAAGTTATATATTAACATGTAATGTATAAAATTATAATATATGAACATATTATGTATGCATTAAATAATAGATGCCCAAAATATGTATAAATTATGTTTTAAATTTTAAAAATTATGTGTGAAATCTCTCATGAATATCCAAGTTAAAATGTCATCCTACCAATTGCGTTAGGTTAAATCAGTTTCTATGGTAGTAGGAAGAAATAAGGGTAGTGGAGACCTACTTTTGAGAGTGGGCACCTAGATTTAATCCTTAAGTCTATAGCCTGGGTGCTGTCATTATCTTTCTGCTGAGCAATTATATTTTAATTGTCCAGAATATCAATGTTTTTATACAATACAATAAGAGTCAGTGTACTTTGCAGCACTTGTTCTCTCTCTGTTGGAATAATCTCAAAAGGATGAAGAGTTTACTCTTCAATTCCGTGCTGAAACACAGAGCTAGAAATTGATGCTAGCAACTGCTTCATCTGATCTTTCTCTTTCTCTCTCTTTCCCCTTTGTTTCTGCCCCAGAAGAAGGAGCTTCACCTCAAAAAAGTTATTTTTGACTTGATATATTTACTGTATTAAAAAATGATAATTAAAAAATGATTAGAAAGTGAAACTATGCCAAAGATGAAAGTACGGATCTTTTAACTTTATTTTGAATTACAACTGCTGTACCAAGGACCCCAGGGCAAGCCTCCTTAGCTCATTTTGAGTGATTTGGTTTATTTGCAGCATTTTAAAGGTATTACTTAAGTATTTTTCTTCATTCCTTTTAGACTATTGCAAAAGTTGATCGTTTTTCAGTTGACACAATGCTATCCAAGAGAACTACAAAAAAAAAAAAAAACTTCTCTATCACAAATACTATCTGAGATTGTCCGTGTTGTCTTCTACCCACATATCTAGTGTCTTGAAGTGGTAGAAGGAGTGACAAATAAGTATTGGCTCCATAGTAGAGGAAAAATTAACAAAGGTAAAATTAACAGGTGCTCTAAGAATACCTGGTGTGGGGTAGATAATAAACAGAGTGTGAAAATGGCATTACACAGCCTTCTTATCCTTTTCCCACTTGAAAATCCTAAGCCTGGAGGTCATAAACAATTGCTATTTCTACTTCTGGCCAGGCATCACAGGAACCAGTACTTTTCTGAGAAATCGATGTTTCTTATACTCTGCTTCAGTATCTGAGAGGCTACTGGGCTTGGGTCAGAGTTTTTACATATGTATCTCAAGGCCAGTCAATTAAAGAATTTAGGTTTTTATTGCGAAAGTGCCTATGTACATGAGGTCTTATGATTTACATTCTTATGAATCACCTAATGACACTTTGAGGGTCTGTGTGTTGTATTCACATGGCCCCATGTGCTGTCTTGATATTTCCAATGTTACTAAACAGAGGGTGAATTCCCAGAGTAAAATAATGTATTACTTGCTTTCAAAGTGAGTGGAAAGTATTAATTATTAGAAATACTCAATAAGGTTGTTGCAAATCTCTATATATAGAATTAGAACCCAATCAACAGGCAGAATGAAAATTCTGAATTTCACCATGCCCTGGTCTGTATAAATGGCTAAGGCAATGACTCAGTACAGGAGTTTCTGAACCCGCCTGCTTGCACAGTAAATGTGAATTCAATTCCGTGCTGAAACACAGGGCTAGAAATTGATGCTAGCAACTGCTGTGCTAGCAGCTGCTATGCTAGCTGCTATGCTATGCTAGCAACTGCTTCATCTGATCTTTCTCTTTCTCTCTCTCTTTCCCCCAAAAGAAGGAGCTTCACCTCTTCAGAACAATGCAGTGCAGGATGGCATACCATGGCAACAGGGGCACTTCTCACCCAGCCACATTTTTTCTCATTGGAATCCCAGGTCTGGAAGACGTCCATATGTGAATCTCCCTGCATTTCTGCTCTGTTTACCTTTTGGCTTTGCTGGGAAATGCTACCATTCTGTTAGTCATCAAGGCAGAACAGACCCTCCGGGAGCCCATGTTCTACTTTCTGGCCATCCTTTCCACAATTGATTTGGCCCTTTCTACAACCTCTGTGCCTCGTACGCTGGGTATCTTCTGGTTTGATGTTCATGAGATTAACTTTGGAGCTTGTGTGGCCCAGATGTTTCTGATCCATGCCTTCACTGGCATGGAGGCTGAGGTCCTGGTGGCCATGGCCTTTGACCATTACGTGGCCATCTGCAATCCACTTCACTACACAAACATCTTGACATGCCGGGTGCTGGTGGGCATCACTATGTGCATTTTAATTCGTCCAGTTCTGTTTACACTCCCGATAATCTATCTCATCTACCGTTTACCATTTTGTCAGGCTCATATAATAGCCCATTCCTACTATGAGCACATGGGCATTGCAAAATTGTCCTGTGGAAACATCCGTGTCAATGCTATCTATGGGCTCTTTGTGGTCTCCCTCTTTCTCCTGAACCTGGTCCTTATTGTTATCTCATATGTTTACATTCTCTGTGCTGTCTTCTGCCTCCCATCACATGATGCTCGGCTAAAAGCCCTAAGCACATGTGGCTCTCATGTTGGGGTCATCTGTGTTTTCTATATCCCGTCGGTCTTCTCTTTCCTTACTCATTGATTTGGACACAACATTCCACATTACATTCACATTCTTGTTGCTACTCTCTATTTGGTTATCCCACCCTCTCTCAACCCCATCATTTGTGGGGTGAGGACTAAATGGAAACGAGAGCGAGTGCTCTATGTACTTACTAAAAAATAAGATTCTGACCATGTTCTTTTACTAAGGACTTTGATCTCCCCTATGAAGACTGATACGTTCTTGCTTTAAGGAATATCTCCTAATCCTTCCTTATTCCTGTCAATTTGCAGTACAAGTTGGTTTGTTCCTGGATGCTGACTAATGGATTTTAACAGTGGCAGAAACTTCCATGGTATCTCAAGTTCAAAGACTGACAAATATTCTGGGAAGGATATCCTGGGAAAGTGCTGTGTCGCCTTGCCTGCATAACTTCATGCAGAATCTTTGTTTGCAGCAGGCTGCTTCTTTTATGGGGAAAGAAGATATTATACTGAGTCTTTTATGATCAGTGATTACAAATATGTGGCACTGGAAATTTAACCCTGTAAACTATGTCATTCATTTTCTTTTCTTCCTTTTTTCTTTCTTTCTTTTTTCCTTCCTTCCTTCCTTCCTGTATTTGATTACTAATTTAATTTACATTCATATTGTATTTGTTTTATATTTTGAATAATTATAACTGCATGGGATAAATCAAGAAACAAAACTAACACAAATGTCTGCCCTGCGGAGCTTGCCTTCTGCTACATCTGGCCCTGTGGAGCTTGCATTCTGTTATGCTCTTATAAAGCCAAGTCCATGGGCTCAAAAAAATCATTGCCAAATCTGTAGCTTCAAGTGGAATCATCTGCCAAATGTGTAAGTTTCTGTGCAATCATAACCAAAACAAACATATAATTTTAAAACTTTTACTCACTGATACCAACAGTAATTTAGCACTGATGTACCCTTTGCTTTTAGGCTTATAGCATAGTCACAAGTGTAGTTTTTAAAATCTAGTAATGTATAACATTTATATGTGATATATGCTGGCCTTTGCCTATCACTTTACCGAGTTGTGTTTTTTTCCATCTACATTTGATTCTAAAATACTCTATCCTAAAATTCAAGGTTTCTCATCTTAGGTCTATGATTTATTTCTAGATCCCCTGACTTTAATGTAGAAGCTGCAGATTAACTTATGCATAGCTACTTTTCACATGAGACAGAGGGCTTTCAATTGATTTAAAAATGAAGTGTCTTAAGACCAGCAATAGAGATTTGCATCATCAAATTAGTAACGTTGTTTTATATTTCTAATGACTTTAATTATTTTATCTTTTAGACTGTTAAAAAGAAACTAGTTCTAAAATATAAAAATGTATTTTTTCCTGCAAACCAGAATTAACAATTTTTAACACTGCACTTATCTCACAGATAACGCTTAATAAAATATATGCAACATGAAAGTTCATATTACCTTTATCACCACTCCAACACAGTTTCCCTCCTGATTTTAGAGGCAGTCTGGCATGTGTTTTTCTGATATCACAGCACACATTTTAGTTTTATAACAAATCATAGCATGTCTATTGGATCACTCGTTATTATTTTATATAGGTTAAAATACTTTATGTTTTGTTTTGTAACATTGATGTCATTAATGTATTCCTGTGTTTATGGACATTTGAGTTATCATTATTTCCAATTAGAAAATACGGTGCACATCTTTGTGGCATATTTTACATTTTTATAGTAATTCATTGAGGCTTTGTACTTTGAAGTAGAATTATTAAGCAACAGAATTTTAATGAATCAGAACATATTTCTGCTTCTTGATCTTTATTTTTGATTAAGTACTTCGAATATCAGAATTTGTCGCGCTTTGTTTTTGTTTTTTGGTTTTTGTTTTTTTGACTGGGTATCACTATGTTGCTGGGGATTGAATTTTTGGGCTCACGCAGTCTTCCTACCTCTGCTTCTGTAGTAGTTAGGACTACAGGTACATGCCACCGTACCTGGCTACATTTCACATATTTTGATTTTTTTTCTCACTTTTATGTTTTCCATTATTTCATTTAGTTCTTGTTTTCAAAAATCCCATTTCTCACTGATGTTTGACAGGTGCATATGCTATATTTCTTCTTCTACTAAATATTATTAAAATTTTTAACTTTCCTAGTTTCATTTTCTGTTTTCTAATAAAACTAATTTGTCCAGCTGGGGTAACATAGCAAGACCTTGTTTCTGAAAATAAATAAATAAATAAATAAATAAATAAATA
This sequence comes from Homo sapiens, assembly GCF_000001405.40. NCBI lineage: Eukaryota > Metazoa > Chordata > Mammalia > Primates > Hominidae > Homo > Homo sapiens. Next base: position 5,040,035 of record NC_000011.10, read on the forward strand.
AAGCCTGGCACGGTGGCACAAACCTGTAGAGTCCCTCTTTCTAAAAATTAGATATATAAAGAAAGTAATTTGTAACTAGTATACTTTGAACAAACAAAAATATTAGTCCCCCTTAGGTTTTCTGTTTTTCTTGTACATTTATTTCTTTCATGTTGTGATTATCTGCAATCCTGTTTCCAGTTTTTTAAAATAATATTCAATAACCATTTTTATTTGATGATATATATTATTAACAATTTATTTCTACAACTCTTCATGAATATATTCTTGCTTACCAATTCTTAGGAGAAACATCTCTTGCATTTTTGACCCAAGCCATATTACCAGCCACAATATACCCCTGCTTTGGTAATAATTCTAATTTTATGTCTAAGTATGTTCTAATTTGCCCTCATATTTAAATGATAAATCAAAAATTTATAAAATTCTGAATAAAATTCTGTTCTATCATCTTTCTTAATTCTTCATTCAGTTGTTTATTTTTGGCATCAATACTCTTAATTAAACATATGATACTGATCATTTTCTCACTGTTTTAAAAGAACTTTTCCCCTCATTCTTTGGAAAGCATGTTTATTTTTCATATTCCAAAATTTTAATACATTGAATCTCGATTTATAATTTTTAGAGTCATGTTCAGTATATAATAGGTCCTTATATTCTGAGATTTTATGTCTCTATTACTTCTAGAAACTTTTCAGACTTTATATCTTTAAATATTTTCTTCTCAATTTTCTTTCCATATTCTTTGGTAAGTCTTTTTAAATAAAGATAAAGTAGAAACTCCTTATTTTTCTTCCATGTATTCTAACTTTTTTTCTTTTCTTCTATCACTTGATCTAGTTTACTTTGATCCTGAAATTCATACGTAGATTCTTAAAATTAACAATTTTGATTTTCAGTATTTTGTTGTATATGTTATGATTGTTCCACCATCTCTCTCCCTCTTCTCAGGCTTCCTTATTCCCTGAGACACAACAATATCAAAATTTGGCCAATTAATAACCTTACAATGGCCTCTAGGTGTTCAAGGGAAAGGATGAGTCACACATCTATGACTTTAAATTAAAAGCTAGAAATGATTAAGCTTAGTGAGAAAGTCATGTTGAAAGGTGAGGACGGCCGATAGTGAGGCCTTTTGTGCCAAAAGGTTAGCCAAGTTGTGGATGCAAAGGAAAATACTCTGAAAGAAATTACATGTGCTACTCCAGTGAACATATCAACGATAAAAAGGCAAAACAACTTTATTGATGATATGGAAAAAGTCTTAGTGGTCTGTATAGAAAATCAAACCAGTCAAAATATTCCTTTAAGTCAAAGTCTAATCCAGAGCTAGGGTCTACTTCTGTTTAATTCTATCAAGAACGAGAGAAGTGAGGAAGATGCAGAAGAAAAGTTTGAAGTTAGCAAAGGTTAGTTTATGGAGTTTAAAGACAAAATGCTGTTTCCATAATATAAAAGGACAAGGTGAAGTAGCAAATGCTGATGTGGAAGCTGTTTGAACTTATCCAGAAGACCTATTATAGCCAAGACAATTGATGAAGTGACTACCCTGAATAACAGATATTCAAGGTCGACAAGACAACCTTATATCAGAATAAGATGCCACCTAGCACTTTCATAGGTAGAGAAAAGTACATGCCTGGCTTCTAAGCTTCAATAGACAGGCTTACTCTCTTGCTGCTACTAATGCAATTGTGACTTTAAGTTGAAGCCATTGCTCATTTTATCATTCTAAAAAGTTCAGGGCTCTTAAGAATTATGTTAAATCTACTCTGCCTGTGCTCTGTAAGTGGAACAACAAAGCCTGGATGATAGTACATCTGTTTATAGCATAGTTTACTAAATTTTTTATTTTGTTTTGTTTTTGAGACGGAATCTCGCTCTGTCTTCCAGGCTGGAGTACAGTGGCCGGATCTCGGCTCACTGCAACCTCTGCCTCCTGGGTTCAAGCAATTATCCTGCCTCAGGCTCCCGAGTATCTGGGATTACAGGTGTGCACAACCACGCCCGGCTAATTTTTTTTTTTTTTTTTTTTTGTATTTTTAGTAGAGATGGGGTTTCACCATGTTGGCCAGGATGGTCTCGATCTCTTGACCTTGTGATCCACCTGCCTTGGCCTGGCAGGGATTACAGGCATGATCCACCACGCCCGGCCATTTACTGAATATTTTAAGCACACTGAGCACACTTACTGCTCAGTAAAAAAATATTCATTTCAAAATACTACTCATTGACAATGCACCTAATCACCCAAGAATTCTGATTGAGACATATGTGATTCATCTTGTTTCCATGTCTGCTAACACAACATGCATTCTGCAGCCCATAGGTCAATAAGTAATTTTTACTTTCAAGTCTTAATGTATAAGAAATATTTCATAAGGTTACAATTGAAGTAGATAATGATTCTTCTGATGGATCTGGGTGGAATAAATTGAAAACCTTCTGGAAAGGATTCACCATTGGAGATAACATTAAGAGCATTTATGATTCATGGAGGAGATCCAAACATCAACATTAACGGGAGTTTGGAAGAAGCCCATTCCAACCTCATGGATAACGTTGAGGGGTTCAAGACTTCAGTGGAGGAAGCAGCTGCAGATATGGTTGAAATAGCAAGAGAAATGGAATTAGAAGTGAAACCTGAAGATGGAACTGAATGCTGCAATCTCACGACAAAAGGTTAATGGATGAGGAGTTGCTATTTATGGATGAGCAAAGAAAGTGATTTGTTGAAATGATAAATAATTTAGAGTATTATATAATATAAAGTGAGTAGATGAGGCAGCAGCAGGGTTTGAGAGAAATGACTAATTCTGAAAGACGCTCTGCTAAGGGTAAAGTGGTACAAAATAGAATTACATGGTACAGAAAAGCCTTTCATGAAAGAAAGAGTCTATTGATTTGACAAGCTTCACTGTTGTTTTATTTTACGAAATTGCCACAGCCACTCCAACTGTCAACAACTACCACCCTGAGCAGTCAGCAGCCATCAGATGATCATTAGCATTTTCTTCAAAGTACTTTTTAATTAATGTATGTTTATTGCATTTTTATACATAATGCAATTGCACACTTAATAGACTATAGTATAGTGTCAACATAACTTTTATATGCATTGGTGTCATAGTCTGTGTTCCTGATAATAGAATACCTGAAAATGGGTAATTTATAAATAATATAATTTATTTCTTGTGGTTATGGAGGTTGAGATGTCTGAGGTTGAGGGCCCCCATTTGGTGAGATACTTCTTGCTGGTGGGGACTCTGCAGGGTCTCAAGGAAGTGTGGGGCATCATATGGTGAGGGGGGCTAATGTGCTAGCTCAGGTCTCTCTTAGTTCCATTCCCATTAATCTCTTAATCCATTAATCCATAAGTAGATTAATTCATTCATGAGGGCAGAACTCTCATGACCCAATTATCTCTGAAAGGCCCCAGCTTTCAATACTGCCACATTGGAGGTTAAGTTTCAACATGAGTTTCAGAGACTCAGACATTCAAACTATAGCAAGCAGGAAACCAAAATATTCGTGTGACTCACTGTATTGTGACATTCACTTCATTGCAGTGGTATGGAACTGAAGCTGCAATCTCTCTGAGGTATGCCTGTATTTGAATTCGTAAACTTTCAGAAGTTTAAATTTAAAGTTTGTGTGATATAATCAAAAAGACTAAAGAGTAAGATGACAAATTTAACTTTATGTTTTTAAGTCTGTGCTTTACATCTTAAACTTGATTGTATCTTCAGTATTGTTTAAGATATCTTCTCCCGCATGAAGTAAAAAGATAGTAATTCTCCCATTTATTATAATGTTATTTTAGTGAGAATGAGAAATATATATATACATTTGACTGAAAAACGAGGGATAAAATGTTAGAATAAATGAGAACTTTCACACCAAATGTATAGACTTAGTGACATGAGAGTTTTCTCCATATGGTTTTCATAGATCAGATGTCTAAGAAGAAGGTGTTGTTATGAGCTGAGTTATGTGATAACAAAAACTAACATTTTAAAATCATTTAAAGCATTTTAAAAACATTTAAAATCATTTAAGCATGCTAAGTATTGTATTTAAGTGTATTATATTAACAACTTAAATTATTCCTCAAAAATATTATAAGCTATGGGTACTATTATCATTCTTAATTTTTCAATTGAGGAAACTGAGACAAAGAGATAATAAGAAAGTCATTCAAATTGACACAGATAGTATACATGAGAAATTCAGTGTTTGATCTGAAGCAAACTCATTTCATGAGTAGATATTTTTACTAATTATCTCTATGACCTCTGTGATATAAGTATGAAAAATTGGCAAGTGGGGGAATATAGAGAAACAATCATGGACAGAGGGCAGTGTGACCAAAGGCTCAAGGATCTTAATCCATAGACTAAACATTTAATAAACTCAGAACATATGGTGATTGAAATGAATACGAGAGCTAAGATTGAACGTGGAGTCTGCAATGCCAGGTTATTAGGCTTTAACTTAGGTAGTTAATATGGATCAAGGACTATTTTATCTAGAAAGCAACATCCCACAGAATTTGGTGGTAAAATTTCACTTAGAAATAAAATGTATCTATCTGTATGCCATATATTAAATAATAATATTTGGATGTTTTTGCTCCCACAACTGCATCTTTTTGTAGGAACATTTCTATACTCATCACTTTTCTTTGGGCTTCTATTCCCTAGATCAGAGTCAAAAATTTTGTTAACCATCTCAGAGGATTCAATCTCATGGTGCCAATTATAGTAGAAAACCCAGCTAACTCAATTTTCCTAATGTTCTAAGCAACTAAAGCCTTAATATAAAACGACTCTTCTTGGACTGTAAAAATGACAAGGCTATAGAGCCATGCTGCTTGATACTCCCCTTGAGCTTATATTTCTATGACATAATAAGGCAGGTGAATTTTCTCTTGACTTAGGTATGTATTACATTGAAATAAGTGAGAAATGATCAAGGGTTGCTGAGCTTGCTGGGCTTGATATTGATCAGGTAGTACAATTTCTGACTCTAATGGAATAAAAATCCTTTGAAACTCTTAAATGGAGATTGAAAATTTAAAAACGATCTAGAAGACCCATGGAATAGATGTATTTATTCAAAGCAATTATATAGTTTATTGGTAAAATATATGTTCTGCCTTTCCTATGGGTTATAAGGAATAAAATGGACTTCTGTAGAAATACAGCTTATTTCTTTCTCTCTCCTTTTCTCTCTCTTTCTTGCTCTCTATATCTCTACCCCCCTCCACACCTCAGAATGGGTATATTATTTATTTTATTTTTTATCTTGATGTATTTTCCACTTTGACATACTTGTCAGAAATATGGAGCTACATAAATGGTGAAACAGGAGTCTGTGCTACTTTCTTCTATCCTGAACCACTCTGCCACAAGTTGGAGACCCACAGAAGTTTGATTTCATTATTTCAGCTTATGAGTGGTTGCTTCTTCATAATTTCAAAAGCATTGAAAGAGCACCCTTATATATTTCCTTTAGAAAATTACAGAAAGTAATTTTATCTGCAAATAGACCTTTTTATTCCAGTTTTGTGTCATCAAAAACATCTTCTCCAAATACATAACCAAAGGAGTCTTCTAGGTTGTCTCTACCTACCTGAAAAGTGACTTAATCAGGCAGGAGGTATAAACCCAGTATATACTAGTTAGAGAACTAATATAGAGTGAAGAGTAAATGATGCTTTCAAATACCACTAGAAACTACCATCACTATAGAAATCCAAAATGAGCCACCGAAAAATTTGTTGCTCTTGAGAAAGTACTTTAATCAGTGAAAATCCTCAACAGGTTTATTATTTTCTTTCTGAGCTCTTTCATGTGTGGTGGTATGTGACCCAGCCTGTGTTTGCTCCTGGGGCAAGCATTCCAGGGTGTTTACGCTTTTGTTTGTTATATCTACATTTCTCATGTTATCTTTCTGTCTTTTTGATAGGATATTAGGCTTAATCTTGGCATGTGCCCTACATCAATAAATGATTAACAAATCATTAGAAGAACTTTTGCAGTTTTTAATTATAAAAATATGTGTACATCTGTGTCTGTAACTTCATGTCCTCATTAGTCTGTCTCCTCCTGAATTAATCGGCATTTCGCTTGTGTGTATCTTTGATTTTTCAGGCATTCCTCTTCAACCAAGGGACTAATAAAGGGTACAGGGCATCTTCAATTATTCCAGTTAAATATCAGACTCTATGTCATAGAATCCTTCAATTTTTAATGTGTAAGTTTACACATTATACTACAATCATTATGTAAACATAAGAATTAAGTTATTTGAGACTGATCTATTCAAATGACTGTAGATTACAAAACACAGTAACAGGACCCTCCAAATAACCTTTTCTTTTTGCTCTGCATATACTGAATGAAACACAAACTTCTTATTCAATCTTCTCTCCCCAGCTGCTGCTTCTACATGTGGCAAGTTCTCCTACACTGTGATTTGGAAAAATGTTTTATCACAACAAGAGCATATTTCACCCAGTCACATTTTTCCTCATTGGAATCCCAGGTCTGGAAGACTTCCACATGTGGATCTCCGGGCCTTTCTGCTCTGTTTACCTTGTGGCTTTGCTGGGCAATGCCACCATTCTGCTAGTCATCAAGGTAGAACAGACTCTCCGGGAGCCCATGTTCTACTTCCTGGCCATTCTTTCCACTATTGATTTGGCCCTTTCTACAACCTCTGTGCCTCGCATGCTGGGTATCTTCTGGTTTGATGCTCACGAGATTAACTATGGAGCTTGTGTGGCCCAGATGTTTCTGATCCATGCCTTCACTGGCATGGAGGCTGAGGTCTTACTGGCTATGGCTTTTGACCGTTATGTGGCCGTCTGTGCTCCACTACATTACGCAACCATCTTGACATCCCAAGTGTTGGTGGGCATTAGCATGTGCATTGTAATTCGTCCCGTTTTACTTACACTTCCCATGGTCTATCTTATCTACCGCCTACCCTTTTGTCAGGCTCACATAATAGCCCATTCCTACTGTGAGCACATGGGCATTGCAAAATTGTCCTGTGGAAACATTCGTATCAATGGTATCTATGGGCTTTTTGTAGTTTCTTTCTTTGTTCTGAACCTGGTGCTCATTGGCATCTCGTATGTTTACATTCTCCGTGCTGTCTTCCGCCTCCCATCACATGATGCTCAGCTAAAAGCCCTAAGCACGTGTGGCGCTCATGTTGGAGTCATCTGTGTTTTCTATATCCCTTCAGTCTTCTCTTTCCTTACTCATCGATTTGGACACCAAATACCAGGTTACATTCACATTCTTGTTGCCAATCTCTATTTGATTATCCCACCCTCTCTCAACCCCATCATTTATGGGGTGAGGACCAAACAGATTCGAGAACGAGTGCTCTATGTTTTTACTAAAAAATAAGACTCTTACCATGTTATTTTACTAAGGGCTTTGATCCTTCTATAAAGACCGATATGTTCTTGCCTTAAGGAATATCTCCTGATCCTTAACTTATTGCTGTCAACTTGCAATACAAGTTGGTTTGTTCCTGGATGCTGACTAATAATGGATTTTAAAACTGTCAGAAACATCATTGTAGTTGAAGTTCAAAGACTGACCAACTATCCTGGAAGGGATATCCTGGGAGAGAACTGTGGGGCCTTTGACTGCATGACCTTGTGAAGAATGCTTGTTAGCACAGGCTGCTGCTTTTCTGGGGAAAGAACATATTTTACTGAGTGTTTTTTGACTAGTGATGAGAGATATGTGGCACTGGAAATTTACCCTGTAAACTACTTTATTTATTCCTTTAATCTTTCTTTCCTTATTTTCTTCCTTTCTTTCTTTTTTCCTTTTATTCTTTTTCTCTTACTTCTGTTTATTCATGCATCATGCATTTTATGATTCCTTTAATTTATATTCATTCAATGTCTGGCCCTATGGAGCTTGCATTCTGTTGTCCTCTTACAAAGCAAATTTCACGGGTTCAAAACAATCTTTGCCAAATCTGTAGCTTCAAGTGGAATCATATGCCAAAGACATGACACTCAGTGCAATGATAGCCAAAACAAACACACAATTTCAAAACTATTTATCAGTAATACCAGCATAACTTATCACTGATTGCTTTTCGGAATTCATGACCATAACATAAGCACCAGTTAGGTATAGCATTTTTACGTCTGTGATATGTGGAGGTCTTTGCCTATCACTTTTTCCAGTATTCTCTCAATCTATATTTGACCCTAAAAGACTCTATTTCAAAATCCAAGACCTCTCTTTCCAACCTGTAATCTGTCATTTGTTCTCCCACAGACTTTAATATAGACTATGTCATATCTAGCTATGGATAGCCACATTTCACATGATGCTGAAGGTTTTCAATTTATTTAATAAGATTTCCAAAGACCAAGCAATTAATTACCTTTTGAATTATCAAACTTGTCACATTGTTTTTTACAATTATACTCATTTTGTCTTATGTAGGTTATTAAAAATATAAAGCAAAAATGTAACAAATAGCTTTGTTCCTGATACCAAAAATTAACAACTTTTTATATTGCGCTCATCTCAAAGAGGATGTTTAAATAACATGCACACAGCATGAAAGCTAATATCACCTTTAACACTGCCCCAGCAGATTTCTCTCCCAATTTCCAGAGGCAAAGGCTAGCATGTGTGTTTTCTGATTTCACATTGCAAATTTTTAGATTTACAACCAATCACAGTATTTTTGTTAATCATTTGTTATTTGTTTATATAGATTAATGTACTCCATGTTTTGTTTTGTAACATTGATTTCATTTATATTTTTATTTTCTAATAGATAATTCATCTTATTATTTTTAATTACAAAACATGCTGCACATCTTTGTATTTATTTGTTTCTACATTTTAAGTTAATTTATCCAGGTTTTATTCTTTAAAGTAGAATTCTTAGGTAGCAGGTTTACAACCCATCAGAACATATTTCTGCTTTCTTGATATTTGTTTTTTAATCACTTTCTGATTTTACATTTCCTGTTGCTTTCCTTTTTTTTCACTTTCATGATTCTTGTTATTTTAGTTCCCTTTATGAATAAAAAATTTCCTCCACTGATATTTAAAAATTGCATATCCGTTATCTGTTTTTCTATTGGGTATTATTAAAAAATTAACCTCACCAATTTCATCTTTCTTTTTTTCTAATAAAAACTAATTTGTAACTACCCTACTCTGAAGAAACAAACATATTAATCCTCTTTTAACTTTTGCTATTTTTCTTCTACATCTATCTCGCTCATGTTGCTGCCATCTGGAATCTTACTTGCAGGTTTAAAAATAGAAATAAAAACACTAAAATATATATATATGTTTTTTTTCAAATTTTATTTTATTTTAGCTTCAGATGGAACATGTGCAGGTTTGTTGCATAAGTATAGTGAATATTGCTGAGGTTTAGGCTTTTAATTATCTTGTCACCCATGTAGTGAACATAATAGCTGATAGGTAGTTTTTCAACACTTGCCTCCGTCTCTTCCTCCCCTCTTTTGGAGTTTCCAATGTTTATTGTTCCCATCTTTCTGTCCATGTGACCCAGTGCTTAGCTTTCACTTATGAATCAGAACATGCAATATTTGCTTTTGTGTTTCTTCATTAATTCGATTAGGATAATGGCCTCCAGCTGCATCCATGTTGCCGCAAAGGACATAATTTTGTACGTTTTATGCTGTGTACTATTCCATTGTGTATATGTATGCATCACATTTCATTTATCTCATCTGCTGTTGATGAACCCCTGGGTTGATTCTGTATCTTTGCTGTTGTGAATAGTGCTGCAATAAACATACAAGTGCAGGTGTCTTTTTGGTGAACAATTTATTTTCCTTTGAGTATAAGGACACATCTAATATTCCCCACCCCAGCCATGATGCCAGACACAACAGCCCCCACATTTTAGCCAATTACCTCCTGTTCTGGTAATAACTGATTATAATTTTATGTCTAAATGTGTCTTCACTTACTTTTATAATTTAATAACAGGACAAAGGTTTATAGAACTTTGGAACAAAGTTTTATTCTATCCACTTTCTAAATTAATTGTTCAACTTTTTTTTTCTAGCAAGTAGTTCTGTAATGAAAAAATATAATTCCAAACATTTTTCATGCTTTTGAAATATTTTTTCTCTGTTCTTTGGAAAACATTTTGATGTTATAATATTTCATTTTATTGAGTGTAGCTTTGTAATTTTTTTAATAAATAATGTTTGGTATTCTGTAGGTCCTTATATTCTGAAACTCTATCTTCCATGATGTGATTATCACACATTGAATGCCTGTATCAAAACATCTCATGTACCCCATAAACATATACACCTACTATACATAGCCACAAAATTTTCCAAAAAAAAGGAAACAATTAAAAATATTAAAATTAATCAAGCACTTTTACTTCCTAAGCATAAAAAAATCAGAGTACCTGGAATAGCTGGAATAATTTTCAAAATAAACATAATAAAGTGAAACTATCAGTTTTTCTGTTTTAATACTTTTTTATTGTTATAATTATCAAGTCTATGTGGTAGTGGCAGGAGGATAGAGACACAGATAAATTGAAAGTACTAGAAAAACCAGAAATAAGCCTGTAAAATATGACCATTTGATTTTTAATACAACTTGATTGAGATAAAATTAACACATCCTATATTTTACCTATTTAAATATACAATTAAATGAACTTTAGTATATTCAGAGAGTTTCGCTGCTGCACTGCAATTGATATAGGATTTGTTCATGACCTCGAAGTGAAATATCATACCTATTTATCAGTCAATAATGTTTCCAGCTCTAGAAAACCATGAATCCACTTTCTGTGGTCTATTAATTTGTCTCTTCTGAACATTTCAAATAAAAAGACTCATGTAAAATGTGTGACTTCTATCACACATCATGCAGTATGTTTTCTATTCCCAACCATATTGTAGCGTGCATCAGACCTTTATTCCTTTTTATTGATGCATAATATCTAATTGTACAGTTATACTATATTTTATGTATACAGTCATCAATTGATGGACATTTAGGTTATTTTCAAGGCTTGGCTACTATGAGTAATACTTCTATGGACGTTTGTATACAACCTTTTGCATGACATGTGTTTTCAGTTCTCCAGGGTATATACATAGAAGTGGAATTGTTAGGTTGTGGAAAATCTGTGTTTAGCAAATTGGGAAATAGAAATTAAAACCGCCATGAGCTATCACTACCAACCTATCAGAAGGACTAAAATTAAAAAGAATATATAGGAGGAAACAGCAAATGCTGGCAAAAATGTAGAGAAACTTGATCACTCTTACATTGCTGGTGTGAATTTAATTGGGCCGCCCTTTGGGAAAACAGTTTGACAACTTTTCCAAACCAAATGTGTAATTAATATATGAACCAACAATTGCACCCACGGGTATTCATATCAGAGAAATGAAAACTTATGTGCACATGAATTCCTGCACAAAATGCTTACCGTTGCTCTGTTAATAATTGCCAAACAATGGAAACAATCCAGACATCCTTCAGTGAATGAATGTTCAACTGCATCAACACATTATTGATATACACAACTGGGATGCATCCTCAGATAGTTATGCTGAGTGAAAAAAGCTTTCATACAGTATGATTCCATTTATGTAACATTATTTAGATTATGAAATTATTGAAAAAAAAATTGATTCGTGGTTTTCAGGATGTAAGGCCAAGGGAGTGGGTCAGGCATGGTAAGGACGTGACTGTGCCTGTAAAAAACAACTTAAGACATCCTTGTGGTGATGTAAATCTTCTGTATCTTCAATGTCCCAATGTTGGTATCATGGCTGTGATGTTGCTTTGCGAGATATCAGTTGGGAGAAAACTAGGAAAAGGCTACATACGGTCACTCTGTATTTCTCACAGCTGCATGCAAAATGAAAAGTACCTTATCTTTTATTTTTTTTTAAAAAAAAGCTTATTAGGAAAATAGGTAAAATGTGTACCCCTCTGTGTTTGGGTACAGTGTCTACAAATGTCAATTTGCTCAGGTTGATTGATGGGTGTCATTTATTTCTTCTCTTTCCCTACAGATATTCTACCAACTTGCTCAATCAGTTACTGAGAGTGAAGTGTTAAATTGCTTATATTTGTAGATGTCTTCATATCTCTTTAAAGTCTACTAGTTTTTGAAAAATATATTTTGAACTACTGTTGTTACACAATGCCCTTTAAACTAGTTTTGTTCTGAAACGTATTTTGTCTCATATCAGCATATACTCTTTAGCTTTTCTTTGTTAATTTTTTATGGTAAATCTTTTTCCATTTTTCTACATTTATGATACCTAGGTCTTCATTTTAAATATAGAAAACATATAAGCGGGCCTTGCTTTTTCTCCAATATAATAATCTCTAACTGTTAGTTCATGTATTTAGGCTGTTCATTTTTAATGTGATTATTGATATGTTTAGATTAAAATCTACCAGTTTTCTAGCATTTTCTTACTTATTGGATCTGTTTTTTGTTTCTTTTCCCCTCATTTTCCACTGTGTCTTGGTTTTACTCAACATTTTTAACTGAATCGGTTATCTCCAATACTGAATCATTATTAATATAGTTTTTTCTTAATATTTGCAACATGTAACTTTAATTAAGTATAGTCTATTTTCAAATACTATACTGCCTCATGCACAGTGTAAGAACCTTACCATACTATATTCCTAACTCTTCCTTTTCATTTTTAGTGTTGCCATTTTATACACATCATATAATTTTACTATTAAGTTTTACATCATATAGAATATTATATAAACGATATACAGGCATGCACTGCAAAATGACATTTCAGTCAAGTACAAATCTCATATAAAATGGTGGACATCCAGCATGCTAAGGTTAATTTATTATTGAAGAAAAATATTATTTTTTATAAATTTAACATAGCCTAAATATACAATGTTTATCAAGTCTACAGTAGTATACAGTTATGTCCTAGGCCCTCACATTTACTCAACACTTCACATTCTTTCACCCACTGACTCACTCAGAGCAATTTCCAGTCCTTCAAGTTCCATTTGTGGAAGTGTCCTATAAGGGTGTACCACCTTTTTATCTTTTATATTGTATTTTTGCTGTACTTTTTTAAATGTTTAGACATATTCAGAGACACAAATACTTACCACAGTCTTACAATTGCCTACAGTAGTCAGTACTGTACATGCTGTACAAGTTTGTGGCCTAAGAGCAATAGGCTTTCCCACATATCTTAAGTCTGTAGTAGGCTATACCATCTAGTTTTGTGTAAGTACACTCTATAACGTTCACACAACAATGAAGTTGCCTAATGATGCACTTCTGAGGCTGTATCCCCATTGTTGAGCACACATGATTGTAATATAAAATATTATAAAGTCATTTTATACTGATAACATTTTTTTTTATTTCTACAGCCACTTATCTTTAAGAGCAGCATTGGCAAACTATAGACCACCACCTCCTTTTGTGAGTAGTTTTATTGAAACAGAGATATGCTCACTTACTTTTACATTATATATGCCTCTCTTTGCATTTCAGTGATAGAGTTAAATAAAACCATATGGCCATAGAATTGCAATAGAAACCATATGACCTTGAAAACTCCACAATAATTAATCTCGCCCTTTATAGTATGTATACGGAACTCCATTTCAGCTACATTCAAAATAAGAAAGTAATTAGTTTTAAGTTCAATCATTTCATCACTGCACATGAAGTTCTAGAGTCTCTATCTTCTTGAATAGAGGGACCTAGTCTGGCAAAGCAGCTGCAATTATAGCTACCATCTGTTTAATTTTATTAATTGTGTTGTGATTATCTAACAAATACTATGAAAAAAATAATTGTGTGTATGATTACTTTCACCATGTTGCTAGTCTCCAACTCCTGAGCTCAAGGGATCTGCCTTCCTTGACCTCCCAAAGTGCTGGGATTACAGGTGTGAGCCACTGCACCACCTGGCCTGGTTTTTTGTTTGTTTGTTTGTTTGTTTTTTTGAGACGGAGTCTCACTCTGTCACCCAGGCTGGAGTACAGTGGCGCAATCTCAGCTCACTGCAAGCTCCACCTCCCAGGTTCACGCCATTCTCCTGCCTCAGCCTCCCTAGTAGCTGGGACTACAGGAACCTGCCACCGTGCCCGGCTAATTTTTTGTATTTTTAGTAGAGAAGGGATTTCACGGTGTTAGCCAGGATGGTCTCGATCTACTGACCTCGTGATCCACCCGCCTCGGCCTCCCAAAGTGCTAGGATTACAGGCGTGAGCCACCGCGCCCGGCCCTGGTTTTGTATTTTTAAAGCTTGAAGTTCATCACTAGTATATAGAAATAGAATTATTTGTTGAATGTTGATTTCTATCTCCTGAGGTCTTGGTGAACTCATTTAATAGTTTTGATAATTTTTTAATCTTTTATATTTTTTACATGAACAATCTTGTCATCTAGAAATAGGAAGAGTTTTATTTTTTTGTTTATTATCCTTTTCTTAATTTTTTAAAAAAATTTAAGTTCTGGGATACATGTGCAGAATGTGCAAGTTTGTTACCTAGGTATACATGTGCCGTGGTGGTTGGCTGCACCCATTAACCTGTCATCTAGGTTTTAAGCTCCCCATGCATTAGGTACTTGTCCTAATGCTCTCCCTCCCCTTTCCCCCAACCCCCCAACAGGCCCTGGTGTGTGATGTTCCCCTCCCTGTATCCATGTGTTCTCATTGTTCACCTCCCACTTATGAGTGAGAATATGTGGTGTTTGGTTTTCTGTTCCTGTGTTAGTTTGCTGAGAATGATGGTTTCCAGCTTCATTCATGTCCCTGCAAAGGACATGAACTCATTCTTTTTTATGGCTGCATAGTATTCCATGGTGTATATGTGCCACATTTTCTTTATCCAGTCTATCATTGATGGGCATTTGGGTTGGAACCAAGTCTTTGCTATTGTGAATAGTGCTGCAATAAACATACATGTGCATGTGTCTTTATAGCAGAATGACTTATAATCCTTTGGATATATACCCAGTAATGGGATTGCTGGGTCAAATGCTGTTTCTGGTCACTAGAGAAATGTAAATCAAAATCCCAATGAGATATCATCTCACGACAGTTAGAATGGTGATCATTAAAATGTCAGGAAACAACAGATTCTGGCGAGGTTGTGGAGAAATAGGAAAGCTTTTACAATGTTGGTGGGAGTGGAAATTAGTTCAACCATTGTGGAAGACAGTGTGTTTATTTTTTATTAACTAACTGCCCTGGCTAGAATTTCTAGCACTATAATGGATAATATTGGTGAGAATGCATTTCCTTGCCTTTCTTAGAGGGAATACATTATCTTTCACTATAAAGCATAATGTTTGATGTAGATTATGTTCGTCATTGTTCTTTTTCAAGCTGAAGAAGTTCCCCTCTATTGAAATTTTATGGGAGTTTTTATCATGTGTGGGTGTTGAATTTTGTAAAAATATTTTTCATAAATTCATTGACCAATATATTTATTTTTTTCTTATTTAGGTTGCTAAATTTATAGATTTCACTGACTTTTTAAAAATTTTTATTAAGAAGTTTAATTATTAAATAAGCGTGCTTAAGGATAACATTTTTTTTAAGTGGACCAAGACTCATGATTGGCTGAACTTCAGAAGGTTAAATGTATACACTCATCAAAGGATTTCAGGCTTAAAATGCATTCAGTACACCACATTGAACCTCTCAATACTCTAGAACATATACGTAAGCAATGGAAAATTTTTTTTTTGCACAGTCATTTGTTATTCTCCAGAGTTTAAGCTAATTTATGGAAAAGCCAGAAATCAAAAACATTAACAATCATTTATGTAACAACAACTTGTATTAGTTGTACCATTTGCAAAATTTAAACAAACTGTCATCACAACTTTTCACATATGTAAATAAAAACATCAATATCTTACTGTTCACGATATCTTATAACACCTGTCCAAACATCCATCAAGTTATAAAGAGACTGTTTTAGATTAAACCAAAGATTTATTTGACGAGATAAAACATTTGGTTGTCACTTCTGCAACTTTGTGTTGCACAGCAGTGAGTACCCCTTTGATTAATCTAGCCTTCCCCTCTTACTGTTTCATGTTCTTGGCAGGAAGCAGATATTTCTAAGCCATTTGACACACTCAATAATGTTTTACAGTGAAGAGCCTCCACTATAATTATTCTTAACTTTACTCACTATCCTATTTTCTAGTATCTTTTTCTCTCTCGCTTTCTGGATGAAAATATTTCTCAGAACACACCTCATGCCTTCACACTTCAGCATCTAAACAAAACTTCTCTGTTGACATGAGCACTTATTTTTCCCCTCTTGGGCTGGGTTTTTATGACTTTCAATTCCAGGTCAACATTTATTCATTCTCATGTATTCTGTCACACATATTTAGCATTAAACAGAAGCAAATTGCAAACCACCAAATATTGGAAGAGAGGTATTTACTTTACTTGGTTTTTCACTAAAATGGCAAGAATGCTATAAAGACTCCCTTAAATTTGTACGTTTTACTAGTTTTAAAAGGTTTGCTCATTATAAGACATAGAATGCTCTTTATGGTCTAATGTCTTTTGTGTTTTCTCTATTTGGTCTCCTCATTAATACTTTGGTTAATTGATGCATATTTTTGAGTTACTGGTCACTTAAATACATACATGAAGAAAATAAAATATTAACATCCTGTGTATCGACTGAGTTTGTATGCAGCCCGCTTTGGAGATCAGTATATCAAAACCTGGGAGGATTGTTGTTCAGACATAGTGAGTTTAAACATTTGTCCTTTCATATGTGGTAGCTAATAATCTCTAGAGCTCATTTAGCCATATTAAATATAATCATGAAGAAGAAACAGTAACTTGCATGCGTGTTCGTGTGTGTGTGCTATTGTGATATGTATGTTTCCGGTTGAACTATTAATTCACCAGCAGGCATCAATTGCTGTTAGTACATGTGGGGAAAGCATTAAGGAATTATGCTCCTGGTTTATAATTTCAGTTTCAGGGAAAAGAAGTGGAAACAGGCTGACAAAAAGTGTAATGAGTGATCAGGATGGGAGGAATTGAGTGTCATTGGAAAGGGACATACAAAACATAGACAAGCAGATATACGAATACAGTCAAAGATGGTTTAGAATGAAATAAACAAAATGCATTATGAAACAACTATTTCGAATAATAAAATTAATCCAGTTGTGTGAAATTAAATTCTAATTTTAAAAATTCTACTAGGACATATAATTTCAATTTTTCTCTCAACAAAGATATAAAAAATATTTGGGGGAATTACGGTGAAATGAAGAATGAGAGATAAATTTAGAGCTAATTTTTTCTCAGCTTATTATTCTTACTCTAAAATCTTGGTGTTTTTCCGCCCCAAGATGGTTTCCATAATAGAAGAAAGTTTTGCTAATGGTTGGACTTTTATTTTTTAGTAAAGTATAAAACCTTATTAAATTATATTAAGTATGAATTAAAATCAATGCATTTGTATACTAAGTTCATTGACAGGGAGACTCAAGACTTTTTAAAAATAGGTTCTTCCCCAAAGGACCTATTTATTCATTGTGATTTTGAAAAATACCTCTTTTGTTTTAGAATAATTTTAGATATAACAGTAATTCGTGAGGATATTGCAGATAGTTCCCATATATCCCACATTTAATTCCCCTTATTGTAAACATCTTATATTAGTGTAGTCTATTTTCCAAAATTAATGAAGCAGGTAATTGATACATATTTATTGCTAAAGCTCATACTTTATTAAGATTTTCTTACTTTTTAGCCAATGTCCTTTTTCTAATCCAGCATCCCATTTAGGATACCCCATTACCATTAAATCGCTGTGTCTCTTAAGGGAAGATAAACATAAATTATAATGATATAGAACAATTAAAACAAAAAGTATGGACATTTCAAAGTTGAAGTTGCTCATTAATTTTAGACTCTATAAATTCCACAAAGTAAGGGAAGGTGACATAGTCAAAATTTTATCTCCAGCATCCTACAGTTATAAAAGTTGACACTCAGAAAATTATTATAATTGTATTGTAAGAAGCAGCTCCATGAAACATCAATTACCCAGCAAAAATGGGTGCATTCATATCTGATATAAACACTTCAACCAGCTATTCCAAATAATAGAGAAAAATAACATTACCTGCTTAAATGAAATTATAAGAGTATTGAATAGAGAGAACAAGAATGCAGCAATATGGTAAAACCCCATCTCTACTAAAAAACAAAAATTAGCCAGGCCATGGTGGTGCATGCCCATAGTCTCAGCTACTTGGCAGGCTGAGGCAGGAGAATCACTTGAACCCCAGGGACAGAGGTTACAGTGAGCTGAGATCATGCCACTGCTCTCCAGCCTGGGCAACAGAGCAAGACTCTGTCTCAAAAAAAAAAAAAAAAAATGCAGCAACAGATCTCAAAATGTGGTATGAAAAGCAGATGGAGAAATTCAATGTATTTAAATACAGAAGAGAGCCAATAAAGCCACATATTAGAATATAATTTTTATGACAAGACATTTCTCTCACTGAAATTTCATAAAATTGCATTCAGAACCTCGTATGTATTAGGTACTCTTCCTTTTCCATTCCTTGTTCCTGCAATAATATTTTCTTCACACATTTATAGATCTGCTTGGTTCTGACTCCATATATGACAGGATTGAGCATTGGTGGCACCACAACATAGAGATTGGCTAGGAGTATATGGATATAGCGGGGCACATTTCGGCCAAAGCGATGAGTCATAAAGGAAAAGAGGGCTGGTGTATAGAAGGCAAGGATTACACACACATGTGAACCACATGTGCTGAGGGACTTGAGTCGGGCTTCATGAGTAGGAAGACGGAAAACAGCACAAAGAATATGCACATAAGAAAGGGCAATGACTGTGATGTCAAACACTAGATTACAAATGGCACATAAACCATAAATAATATTGATTTTGATGCTGGCACAAGATAGATGAGCAAGACCCATGTGCTCACAGTAGGTGTGGGGAATTACATGATTCCCACAGAAGGGCAACCGCAATATAAGAAGTATAGAGGGAATGACGAAAATTAAAGCCCTCACAAACACACCAAGACCAATCACAGAAACAACCTTGTTGGTGAGGATGGCGCTATATTGGAGTGGATTGCAGATGGCCACATAGCTGTCATAAGCCATTGCCACAAGGACTGCTGACTCCATAAGTGTGAAGTTGTGGATAAAAAACATCTGGGTGAGGCAGGCTTCAAAGATGATCCCTCTGAGGTTGATCCAGAAGATTCCAAGCATCTTAGGGATGGTAGCTGTTGAGAGACCCACATCAGTGGTGGCCAACATGGCCAGGAAGTAGAACATGGGCTGGTGTAGGCTGCTGTCAGTCTTGATCACAAGTAGAATAGTGAAGTTCCCTATGAGTGCGATCATGTACACAGCACAGAAGGGAAAGCCGATCCAGATGTGAAGTGTTTCTAGTCCTGGGATCCCCAGCAACAGGAAGGAGGAGGGGTGAAACTGGGTGTCATTGGGAAGGAACATCCTGCTTGTGAATGCATAAGTCCACAGTCTACAGAAATGTATGCTCACCCAATCTGCATGTAACCACACAGGCTTCTGCAGTTCGGAGACAAAAATTTAATATAAGAAACATACATTTGTGCACATGATTTTTTGCAGGAAATTCTATCACTTTGAAACATACTGTATACAGAGCACTTTAGGTAAGTAACAAACATCTCAGGGATAAATTCTTAGATGAATTTATACAGTAAATTAAAATAAAATGTTCTACGTGATACTTTCAACTTTGCTAGCATTCTACTCTACCTAAACCCTATCAATATAACCTCACTGCCAATATTATGCTAAGATTTGCCTGAATACTTTTTACTTTAGCTATTCTCTCTCATTATTACCATCATCACCAAAGAACCCCTTTGAATTTTGAACAAGGTAGGGTTTTCCTAGCCCTTAAATGTAGTGGTGGAAATTAATTCCAGTTGATTGAATGATAACACATATGGATTAACACAGAGGGTGGGTACACTCTATTCAATAAACACACAGACTGATCAAAATTTATGCCAAAATATACTAAAAATCACTTAAAGGTTTAAAACTGTCCATTTAAAAATATTTACTCATTATTACTGTAAAATAAAATACAGAATAACAGTGAAAACAGTCGCATCAACTACCAATTATTGAAGTACTGCCTACTATTTGCAAAGCTTTGTTATGTGCAAATCATCTCCAATTTATAAAAAGAACACCCTTCAAGGAGAATATTAATTTTTCATATTTTCCATGTAAGCGATCAATGAGTTTAAGAGGCTTGTCAGATGTTTAAAATGCTTCTAATGGATGATCTGGGAAATTAAGCTAGGGATAAAAGTAGTGAATTTACATAGAAGGAAAATAGAAGGAAACAAAAGTGTAATGTATGACTTATCTGTGTTATTCACACCGGATAAAATACACACACACATGCATAATATTACACACAGGTTAGACAAATACATATTTTTTTCAAAACTCACAACATCCATCTGAATAACACGTTAGTATCTCTAGCTCAAAGCTGAGGCAATCATGACTTCAGGAATTTAAGATATATGTCAAATGTTTAATTAAAAACTAGTGAGAAAAAACAGGAGCCTTATAATATTAGATTTATGATAATGCAATCATGTTATTTATTTATTTATATTTTATTATTTGAGACAGAGTCACACTTTGTCACCCTGATTGGAGTGCAGTGGCACAATCTCAGCTCACTGCAACCTCTGCCTCCCAGGTTCAAGGGATTCTCCTGCCTCAGCCTCCAGAGAAACTGAGATTACATGCACGGGCCATCATACCTGGCTAATTTTTTATATCTTTAGTAGAGACGGGGTTTCTCCATGTTGTCCAGGCTGGTCTTGAACTCCTGGCCTCAAGTGATCTGACCACCTCTGCCTCCCAAAATGCCGGGATTACAGGAGTGAGCCACTGCACCCAGTCTCAATCATTTCAAAGTTACCTAAATTCATCTAATCTGTCTTCATGCACCTTGCTTGTAATATTTGATGGGGGAGTATTTTCAGAGCATTTCTGACCATGGAAAGCTTTTACTGTTCCATAGAAAAATGCCTTACTCAAGATTAGAGAGGTTAACAAACCCTGGCAGTTTGAAAGAAATGCCATGTAAATTATTGGGATTACTACCCAAATTAATGATAGTGATAAGTATGTAAATGATATGCTATGTAAGTCTATACCCCATTTTATAAAATGTGGGATGTTTAACAGGTAAAATAAAGAATAAATGACTACAAGAAAAAAATTGTCTGTGTACATAAAATAGCCATCTTCTTGAGAAATATGTAAATGAACAAAATTACAGGCATCATGTTTTTGAATACACAGAACTCCATAAAATATAACTAATGGTTTTCAGAAGATACAAAAATAGAAATATCTGGCACAACAATATTTTGGTGATAAATAAGTGCCACCAATCCTGTCTATCATGTCACATCAAACATTCTTTATGTGTTAAAATCTATTCTGAATGAAAACACAACTGTAAAATCACTAAGCTAATTTGTTAGTGAAATAAAATAACTCCTCTTTTAAGAGAGTTTTTTTTCCTGAGAATAACTGCTGAATAAGTTACATATATATGACTTCTTTAACCTGTGCAGAATTACATAGCTCCTTCTGAATTACTTTGTTTGGAACATCAAAGTAGTATTTGAAACAGCCATACCTCAATCAATGTGAATTGGGAATAATTAAAGAGATCATCAGACAGAAATTGTTTTTGAAAGGAAAAACAAAGAAATCAAACACAGATTTACTCATTATTTTACCTCTTATATTTTATAACTCCATTTCAAGCTAACACCTTAAGCTTCAATCTTATACTAATTTACAAGAACTCTATACTTACTCACCTGTGCACACATTTTATGTTATTGCTGTCAGACTTTATTTTTATATTTGCATCAATTAACAACTTTTTGCAGTTGTAGTTATTCTTAATACTTTTTTCCTTTTACTTTTATACTAGTGTTAAAAGTTATTAATTCACCACCATTTAGTATTACATTATTTGGCATTTGTATATATATTTACCTTTACCAGTGAGATGTATACTTTCATATGTACTAGTTAGCATCCTTTCATTTCAGAATGAATTCCCGTTAGCACCTCTTGTAAGACAGGTCTAGTGGTGACAAATTCCCTCAGTGTTGTTTGTTGGGTAAAGTCTTTCATTTGTAAAGGACAGGCTGGGTTGAGTGAATCTAGTAATCTCATTTGGCATTTTTTCCCCCAGCACTTTGAATATATCATCCCATCCTTTCCTGGCTTACAAGGTTTCTGCTGAGAAATCTGCTGATAATCAATTCTGCTGATCTGCTGATAATCAAGTAAGGGTTGCCTTTTGTGTTATAAATTACTTTTATTTTGATGGTGACAAAATTTTCTTTGTGTTTACAATTTGATCAGACACAAGCGCAACTTCTTACGGTCAGAAACGGATAACAAACCTGCAAATGTACCCCTGAACCTAAAATAAAAGTTAAAAATAAGCTTAGAACTAAAACTAGGAATATCTATATATTTCTGGTAACAAAGACTGAAAACAGATAAACTGTATCACCCCTCAAGGGAGATGAATCAATTGAAATTATCAAAAAATATGTGAAAAGGGGCTGTAAGAGCCAAACAGTGTGTATAATCTGTCCTCACCTCACCCATACTCTCTTTATTTTAGCATCCTATCCAACACTTGGCTGAAACTAAAACAGTTCTAGTTAAGTTAATTATTGATCTCTGGACACCAAACCCAAACAAATATCCCCGTCTCATCCTACTACAACTCCCAGCAGCATGTGACCCTGGATCATTCCATTCTTTGAAACAAAGTATATATATTTATATAGTTTGTTTAAGATTGTGTGTGTGTATACATATGTATATATACTAGTTTATATATACACACTAGTGTATATATACTAGTTTATATATATATATATACATGTTTAAATAGCAAGCTATATATATACACACACACCCATACACACATGCATAAATATGTATAGGTGTTTGTGTTTGTGTGTGTGTATATATATATATGTGTGTATATATGTATGTGTGTATATATATTTTGAAGTACATATACTTATTTGTTATATATTTTTGACAATTTAGTTAGACACAAGTGGAACTTCTTACAGTAAGAAATGAATGACAAACCTGCACATGTACCCTGAACTTAAAATAAAAGGTTCAAATATACTATATGTACATATATAAACATACTCATACATATATATTACATCGATATATACTGAGTATGTTTATATATAACATACTATATGTATAACATAAAAATCTCTATGTATATAACTAACATACTCGTGTTTCCTTTTATATTGCTAATCTTTTTAAAATCTTTGTTGAATATTCCTTCACTGTCAGATTTCTAAATGTTGCCATGGATACCTTAAATTTTAGATCTGGTTTTATATCTCTTATATAACTACATTCTTTCTCTAAGATTTTTTAATTCAGCAATGCAGCATTCAAATCTGTCTATGCATTGATAACTCCACTGTACATCTTCATACTTGACTCCTCTAATGATCTCCCAAGTAGTATATTTGACAACGTACTGGATATTAGAACATCTAAGAGGCACAGCAAACATCACACAATCAATAAAGAATTTTCCTTAATAATATCCTTAACATTTCCTTCTCAGTAAATGTAAATCTTACTGCATGGTTATTCAAATCTGAAAACTAGGCTTTGTTCTCCATTATTAAAACCCTTTTACCTCTGTCAAGTTCTTCAATAAGTCCCCTTGTTTTTATGTCTAATGTGCTTTAATTTATTTACTTCTGATCTTTAGCACTGTCATCACTATTTATTTTCTGCGATACTTCGTTAGCCTTTTATCTCTTTCTTTCCACTCTTGGGCCATTCTTCCTAAATCTATGTTTTTATAGCAGGTAGTAAATTCTTGAAAAACAAAGCAACAACAATGAAACATTGGCAAGTCAAGTCATTCCTCTGCTAACAAGATAATTTGTTTCTACCGCTCTCAGAGTAAAAGGAAAAACATTGCTATGATATCACTTGTGAGACTGTTACATAATGGGATCATTTTTCCTTATGTATGGAAAAGAGAAGTAGAAGTATACATCTGGTTTTGCCCCCACACATCTTCCTTCTCATCATTGTGCTCTTTTGCTCAAATTCCTTAGCTTGCTTCCCAGACAGCTTCACTCTTTCTGACATCAAACAGCACTGCCACTCTTGTTCACCAAACTACAGGCATTTTTTTCACTCTTTCTATTGGTTTAACAGTTCAAACCTCTTTTTTTTTTTCACCACTCTATTTAAACATTTTCTATCCAGTTATCTAAGATAGCCCACCACATTTTCCTTTATATTACTGTATCACTAACACTTTATTTTCTCCTACAAAATTTTCTCCATTTTCTCCTCACCCATATCCCCTATCTCTAACTTCCTAAAGCCAATCTCTCTTTCCTTTAGCCAACCTTTTCTTTCCTTGTTTCTCTTCACAAATGGCAATTGTTTTCCCTCCTAGCTCTGCCCTCCTCCCTCCATCAGACTTATAAAATGTGTATGCTACTTCTGTTTACCCATCCCTTCATTAGCTTATTGCTTTGTACTCTTACTCCTGGTTAGAATGCTCAAGTTGGGCTTCGTTCTGCCTAAGGAGTCTAGAAGGTTACCAGCTTATATACCAATGATAAAGGAAGCCTCTCATTTGTCCTGGAGTTCTGGAAGCCTGGGGGAACTGTAGCTACTCATGCTATATGGGGAGTAGAGACCTGTGGGTCTAAGGGATGTCAGTTGCTCAGGTAGAGGTACAGGGAATTTCCATACAAACTGAGAATTCCTAAGGGAGGTTCAAGTGGGAGAAAATCAAGGAAAATCTGATCCTATCTCTGCTGGCTGGATGAGCTTAGATACACAATGGGGAGTGGGTAAGCTCCAACTATGTAAATTTTCAACAGCCTAAAGGCACTATGTGAATATTAAAATTGTAGAATTGAATAAAAAGAATATGGCACTAAAATGGTTACTAGAAGTGGGCAGATTCTAGAAACTACTCAGACATTTGGTAATCTCCTAGGGAACTTCCCTAAGTGTTAAGAGTGAGCCAGAAATAGATGCATTCACAGAGAGACTGACATAGGTTCAAACGATCTCAAATGCTGCTTTAAGATCTGAGATTGTTAGTGACCATGGCCACCTGCCAGAAGCAAATCTAAAGCTAAATCTTCTAAGTCAGAATAGTATTGTATAAATTATCCTTGGACTCAAATTATTAATATTTCTAATTTATTTTCCACAAAGTATCTTGCATCAGCATAACCATGCAGAGAAAGAATCAAACAAATGTGTCATAACACCAGTTTTTTTTAAAATAGGAATAAACATAGGAGATCAAATAATACTATTTTCAAATAGGTCTTATAATAACTGTAATTAAATATACTTAAGAAAATTAAATAAAATTTGAAGTGTTCTTTAAAAAACTAGAACTCTTTTAAAGATTCAAATGGAAACTCTGTATGTGAAAAAAAAACTTGAATTAAGAAATCAAGAGTCTTTACTTCTATTCTGTGAAGGAACTGTAAAATTGAAAACCTAATTAATGCCCAAAGTTGTGTAGATCTTAAATAGCAAAGCTTTCAATGCGGGCCATCAAGATTCCTAGCTATATTTCTTACCTTGTACTTTATATATAGCCCAGAAAAACCCCAAGATGAAAATTATTTTTAAATTGTTATATTTTGGAAAGTTCCCAGAAAACTTAGAAGAAACCAATAAATACCAACACAAATATTAATACAAATCTTCTCAGGATAAATACATAGTATATCAAGAGAAGGATTGCTGATAATGAATTTCTAATATAAATGAGTAAGTCAGTTTTATATACATGTAAAAAAGAGGAGAAGGAAAAAAACACTGTAGACACTATATGTGAGGTACAGCATAAACAAACAAATTAAAAAAATAAAGCAACCTAT
Organism: Homo sapiens; assembly: GCF_000001405.40. Taxonomy (NCBI): domain Eukaryota; kingdom Metazoa; phylum Chordata; class Mammalia; order Primates; family Hominidae; genus Homo; species Homo sapiens. Next base: position 5,066,152 of record NC_000011.10, read on the forward strand.
GTGGCAGGTAAGATAATGGACCTCAAAGATAAAGGGGAATTTAAGTTGCAGAGGGAATTACGGCTGATGATCATCTGACCTTAAGATAGGGAAGTTATTCTAGATTATGTAGGCATGTTCAATGTAATTACAAACATCCTTACAAAGTGGAAGTAGGAGGCAGCAGAAAAGTCATTGTCAGAGGGATGTGATGTGAGATAGACTGCATAGGCCATTGCAGGCCTTGAAGATAGCAGGAGGCCGTGGACCAAAACATGTTGGCAGCATCCAAAAGATGGAAAAGTTAAGAAGGTGGATTCTCCCCTAAAGGTTACAGGTGTGAGCTACCACGCGGGGCCAACCTTGGACATCTTTTCCCATCTGCCAATAAGTCTGCACAAGTGGCGTGTGGCAGTCCCTCTAATGGCTGTGCCCGACTTCCCGGTCTGATCCTCCTTGATGGCTCCTTTCTTGGGTTTAACTCCGTGGGTCGCATTTCCTGCACAGCCATTGGCTGCCGGCCACTACTGCCACCTTTGTCTTAGAGAATTTAATTTGGTCATTAGTCTACCTATTGTGGTGCATGGACTAGCCCCACCCTCCTTGAGGTGTTCAGGACAAAGAACGCAGAACTGATACCAGCAATATTGTTAAAAAATGCTTAAGGATTTTATAAGACTTTTTAAAAAATAATATCATATTTTTTAAAAATATTAATTTTACCATTGGAAATCAGATAATCCTATATTTCAGAATCTGGTCTCAGAACCAGGACATGGGTTGTCTATGTACAATAACACTCAATTTCACAGGAAAGGGTTAATACTAAGCTCAGAGCTTTGCAGGTCCCATTATCTCCAGGGTGTTCCAATATAAGGTGTTGCAAAGATCTCCCTCTGGATGTTGTGACCACGGTACAAAACCCACCCTCATAAGCAAATGGAATTCAGAAGAATGTGAAGGGAGATTTGCTTACTTCTGCAGGTGTTTCTGCTGGTAGGTAACATTTTGGAATTATGGATTCTGATCTGTGGCTGAGAACAATGAAAAGAGCAGAAGATGATAAAATAGGGGAAAGAAAAGAAAACCTTCTTATTGAGGGAAGTGGATAAGAGAGCTTACTGTAAGAATTTATTGGCATAATTTCATATACACTTGAGCAACTACTACCTTCAATTGTTTCTTATACATCTTACACAATCTTTGTGTGAAGCTCTGACATCTTTTGATACTTTTGCCATTCTGTGCACTAGAGCTCTTCACAGCCAGGTAGTGATCTATCAAATTTCTTTCCCTTCATGTTTTCTGTGTATTTCTCACTGTTCCCTCTCCTTTAGTCCTTCTAACTTAATCTAAAGATTAGATAAATGGTCCCAACCCAGGCCCATGTTTGACACGGAGAAAAAACCATAATTGAAGTTACCTTAAACCATTCAGAAATTATCCCTCTCCAGTATAACACAACCAAATTACATGCTACTTTTCTCTGACAGAAAGTAGTCCCAATCATTTTTCAATGGTGCAGTTTCCAAATGTGTGATACAATTTATGTACAAATGTCAAATGATAAGAATAATCATTTGTACTGGATTATAAACATTAAAAATGCTACCAAAATATTTATATGCAGATAAAGTATCAGGATTGAATGTCTGCTAAATTATGTAAAGGATTGCCTGACAAACTGTATAAGCAAGTTCACTATAGCTTTTTACTTTGTCATGTTCTCATCAATAGGATAACCAGTCACTGTAATACACTTTTTTGATGAGACATCTCGAGTCAGACATACCTTGCAAAGCTCTTGCAATGCAGGCATTTTACTCTCATTTCATAGGTATGGAGTCTTAGACTTAAAGAAGAAAAATAATGTGTTCAATATTACATGGAAATGAGAAACAAAACATAGACTCAATTCCTAGTGTTGGTTTCTAAACATTATTCCATTTTCATATACTAGGCCCTGTTAAGTTAGCTAAACCAAACTCACAAAGAAGAAATCTGAATATAGGATTCTGTCACATCTCTTTCACCAGTCTCCTCAATTCCAACACCACATCTTGCATATAGTCACCACTGATGAAATTAGGATAGTTTTCCAAATAGTTATTTTTTTCTGAGTTACTCCTCTTCTGTTTCCCAATTTGCTTGTTTTGGAATAATTATCTTAACTCAATTTCCTTTTCTTCTCCCTATACCTGATCAATTTCTACTTTCTAAGATTTCTTAAGAAATTTGCCCAACACCCAAGCTGCAGTGCACCCTTCCAAGACATACACACACACACACACACACACACACACACACACTAGTGTGTGAAAGAGTTTTTAATCACAGTGTGCTTGACCACAGTTTTATAAAGATAAGATACATCATAGCAACACAATATAGCAAGACAAATGCTAGACTCACTATCAGGAAGTGGTGTGTACAAATTAACTTACTTTGCCTGACAACTTTGTGATGTTTCATAAACTTGAACACTAATGTTTGTGTGTGTACATGTTCGTAAATCTGTTTCTTTCTTGACAGTTATCAGCAGAAAGACAATTAGAAATAGCAAGGTTAATCAACAGATCTGAAATGAAGAGGGATATGTGCATTCCATTGTAAGTAGACCCAGAGTAAGAAGATTATCTTGAGAGGGTTATCCAGAGTAAGAGGTTTCATTAATAAGACCTCAAGGCAGGGTTCCTCTCTAATATTGGCACCCACAAGAAAGGAGAGATTGGAAGATGACTTGGAATGAGAAATGGACTTGCAGACTTAAACGATAAAACACCTGCACACATCCAAAATTATCTTAGACTGTTCCAGTTGTATACATTTGTGGTTTCTTCGAAGAGTGGATTACATATTCTCAGCTCATAAATGTGAACTATAATGGGTCTGGTCATATTTAAATCATGTGTCTACTTATTTGTCCATAATGTATGTATCTATGAATTAAGCAGTTTCTCCATTAAACAATGTTAAAATATTTTCAGGAGAATCTTATGTGCATCTAAAGTAGTAAGGGAACAATTTTATCTCACCAATATTTTATAAGTTTACATTGCTGATTTGGGTAACTGTTACAACTACTAACACTAACTTTAAACCACTATGTTGCATCAGAAAATAAACCTTTAGTTCATCTTTTGCAATCAGTCACAGCATATAATCTGGTACTTACGTGGTAGATAATTAATGTTTGTTGAACTAAAATATTGAATTTACTTGAATGAATCTAATGAAGTACATTTAAATCTTTGGCCACATGTTACCATTAAATTGTACGTACTTTCAAGCCTCTATGATGCAGAAATATAGCAGATATTAGTTTCACTGATTTCTTTGTTTTCTGTGTGCACTAAGCAAGGATAAGGCCCACTCAGTGAACGAGAGACATTTAGTTTATAATATATCTTAGCATAAAAAGTTCCCAGAAGAACAGCCTCAATGAATACCACTCTATTTCATCCTTACTCTTTCCTTCTTCTGGGAATTCCTGGGCTGGAAAGTATGCATCTCTGGGTTGGTTTTCCTTTCTTTGCTGTGTTCCTGACAGCTGTCCTTGGGAATATCACCATCCTTTTTGTGATTCAGACTGACAGTAGTCTCCATCATCCCATGTTCTACTTCCTGGCCATTCTGTCATCTATTGACCCGGGCCTGTCTACATCCACCATCCCTAAAATGCTTGGCACCTTCTGGTTTACCCTGAGAGAAATCTCCTTTGAAGGATGCCTTACCCAGATGTTCTTCATCCACCTGTGCACTGGCATGGAATCAGCTGTGCTTGTGGCCATGGCCTATGATTGCTATGTGGCCATCTGTGACCCTCTTTGCTACACGTTGGTGCTGACAAACAAGGTGGTGTCAGTTATGGCACTGGCCATCTTTCTGAGACCCTTAGTCTTTGTCATACCCTTTGTTCTATTTATCCTAAGGCTTCCATTTTGTGGACACCAAATTATTCCTCATACTTACGGTGAGCACATGGGCATTGCCCGCCTGTCTTGTGCCAGCATCAGGGTTAACATCATCTATGGCTTATGTGCCATCTCTATCCTGGTCTTTGACATCATAGCAATTGTCATTTCCTATGTACAGATCCTTTGTGCTGTATTTCTACTCTCTTCACATGATGCACGACTCAAGGCATTCAGCACCTGTGGCTCTCATGTGTGTGTCATGTTGACTTTCTATATGCCTGCATTTTTCTCATTCATGACCATAGGTTTGGTCGGAATATACCTCACTTTATCCACATTCTTCTGGCTAATTTCTATGTAGTCATTCCACCTGCTCTCAACTCTGTAATTTATGGTGTCAGAACCAAACAGATTAGAGCACAAGTGCTGAAAATGTTTTTCAATAAATAAAACATAGCTCATTTATAAATATCAGATTGATTATCAATATTATAAATAATCATATTTACAATGAAAGTGGCATGAATTTTCTATGTTCAAAATAATAACAGAACATTTGGAAAGTATTTAGGACCATCTTAGGGGAGGACTGAAAATGGCAATCATTTGGCAGGTGCTACCCAGAAATGGAAAGGTAAGCCCATGTCAAATGGATAGATAAGAATGTTTTCTAATATTCCATTGTTGGGACATGATTCAGATTCCTAATATGAAATAATATGAACACGTTGTCCTGCATCCTTTATGACTGAGCATAGCATAGCCATAGGCAATTTAAAGCAAATTCAAACAAAAAACCAGAAACAAGCCAACAAAAAAACACTATAAAGCCCTTTATATCTTGAGTTTAAACAAAAATATCGAGGCATCCCAGTAAGTGCTGGTTCTATACAATAAACATTGGAGGATTTTCCATATACCTGGACTATCAAAAATAATGTTATTTTTGACTTTGCCATAATAACGTTGGAAGGCATAAAATTGATACTATGAATATGATAGCTATGTAAAAAGCTTGAGGTCTTCCACCATAAAGAGAATAGCAGAAACTTAGAAATCTTGGTAAATTTGTAGTCCTTTTTTTACAGAAAAAAAAAATAGTCGTGTTGTATTTTTTATGTGGTGGACAAGTTTTTATAAAATCTAACTTACTGATAGTTCTTTGAAAACGAACTGTTCTTTTCCAAACAATATTGTTTATGTGTCTTTTTTTGTGCCATCCCTTAGAGAAGTTTCACTTTTATGGAATGTCAAAAGTCCAAGTGATCTTCTAAGTCTATCATTACCTAAGTGTTTTTTGTTGTTATTGTTGATTGTTGTTTGTTTTAATGAAAGTTTAGTTCCATGTGATATAATTCAGTGCTCTCCAGGTCCATGTGACATTATTGACATTATGAATAGACAGATTCAAGAGAAAATGTGATCGTGAAATTTGGAAAATTCTAACTTTCTAACAATGTATTTATTGCAGGACCTCTCAGACTTTTTAATTTACAAATACTCATTTGAAACTTTGAATCAAGATTGGTGTCAGAGTGCTCTTCTTAGGCCATCCCATGACACATATTCTATAGAATGCACTTTTTAAAAAAATCCTACTTATTGTTATTATAATGGAAAATATGTCAAATATTCTTAGGGGTGGATATGTATTAATTAACATTACACCCTGGACTAGAAAATCTACGAAAAAAGTCAGTTATACTGTGTATTTATAGGCATTATACTTACACATTAATTATGTAAATATAGACTTTTCCTGGACCCCAACTGTGAGACTGAACTCATCGTTTACCTATTCATTTATTCTGTTGTATTGCTTCAGCCTCAATCCTAGGCTAGCACCATGTTCCTGGGCCTTGGAGGTGAAAAGTTCTCAGTGAGTGATTCTGCCCCTCCCCAAGCTGCAGGAGACTTCAGATGATCCTGATTCATGCTGTGGTTACAGAATGTATTTCTGCTCCTTTAAGGAACAATGATCTTCACATGTTCTGTTCCCCTGGTGGCTGAAGGCATTCGCTCCTCAGGGAAGAGGAGAAACAGGGAACTGGGTGAAGTGTGATTCCCATCCTTCTGTGGCTGCTATTCCCCTCTACCAGGTCTGTTCCATTAGGAACGCTTTTTCAGGCAGTCCTGCCTCCAGTCTTTCTAACAATTACTTGGTAGAAGTCTAGGGAGGACAACCTGAGTGGGAATGAATTCCCTCATTTCATATTCTCACATAAGTCTATACTTCACTTTGAGGAATTTGCTTTAAAATTTTAGTAAATCCTTTTTACTGGCTTGTGTAGAATCTGACATCTGGCCCTAATAAACTAGGGATCATGTTCCAACTTTTCTTGAAGTTGTCTATCTTTCTTTATGTTAGAATTAGTTGGTTGCTCTGTGATTTTAACTAGTTGATCAGTCCAAGAAAATTGCTAGTTTTTTTTTTTATTGTACACTTTTTTTGGCCATAAGCTTTTGAGAGCAATGGTCTTCCAATGTATACATGCTAAATAAAAACAAGAAGTCCTGGTAGAAATTTTAAAGCATGCTGTAGCATTTAAGTGGAAGGGCATCTATATCCATTGGTAACTTCCTATAACTCTGTTTCTCCAAGGATGGGCTGTGAACCACTGAATCATAAATATTATGATGATTGTTGAAAAGCAGATGTTATGGAAATCACCACAGAAATTTTGAATCTGATTGCCTTACAGTAGACCCAAGCAATCTCTAAGAGGCTTCAAGCATTCTAAATTTGAGAACAATCACTCCTGAAAGTTGAAAGTTGATTAATAATAATCATTTGACCATCAAAAGGAAATACCAGGATCATCTTTAGAAAGAGAGGTAGTTGCATGCAGAATTGGCCAAACCAAAGCTGAACACCACTACCTCTATACCTCTACACAAACACACACACACACATGCACACACCTCTGACTTGGCCTAACCCACAGCAAACTTTGTTTTTACTTACCTGATATTCCTGATGTCTTGTATTCAGAAACTATTACTATTTCTATATAGTATAGTGGGTAAGAATATAAATCTAGTGTCAGACACCTTAGGTTCAAATCCTGGCTCCACCTTTACCATCTCTGTGACTGTGGAAAAATCAAATAATTTCTGTGTGTCTCTGTTTTCTTATTTGTAAAATAAGCATATCAATATTAGAAATCTTGTCAGTTTGCAGGAGGAATTACTGAGGTTAAGGGATCTAAAAATTCAGAATGAACTAGCGGAATGTCAGCACCGTATAAATGTTATATGTTATACTGGAAAGAAATGTCTATGTATTTGAATCAACTTTATCAAACTACTGGAGCAACATGTTTCTCCCCACTCTTCATGTTCAAGTTATAACCTTTCTCCATATCCTGATTCACTATGTGCTAGGGAGAACGATAAGAATAATGAGAAAGGTAATAGATTTGCAAATTTGGCAAGCATAAACTGAGTAAGTTTAATTAAGCACCCCTCCCCTCAAACACACACACTCTTTTGGTAGTAAGTCTTTCTAAATAAGTTGTATGTGTTTCCTCATGCTCCGCCACGTGGTAAATCTTCCCATTCTGATGAGAAATATATGCCTGACTCTGGGGGTTACTTACGGTGTTCACTGGCTCTCAAGCCAAACAAAGTCCTTTACAATAGCTTTAATCACTAAGAAATATTATATCTAGAATTCATCCTTCATTATTTTATTTTATCTCAATCTCTTCAGAAATCATATGGGAAAGAAAGGCTATATTTTTGTGTGTCCAACACTGAGATCCTGCAAATCATTACAAATGTTGCCTTAAGTATAATTGTATTTCCAGCGAATTCTGGTTAGTAATTAAACACTGACTAAATGAATCTAACTAAAGTGAAGGTGGTCATGGAGAATGGTATGAGCAGTAGTAACAATTTTGACAGCTGAGTCTGTGAGAAGCTGTGTTGCTGAAAGCCCCATTCAATGACATTCAGCTGTATATAAAATAGTTGTGAGACTACAGAAAAGTTATTTCTTTAGAGGTAGACTTCAAATCTCAAGTTCTCTATTCAGTAACCCATCAAATATGAGTGTGCTGAGCTATTTATTATCTGGATTTCTATGATAACCCCCAAATATTGCAAGGGTTGAGTGATTATGCATACAGAATGTACAGTAAAGAGCTGTGGACCGCTTAATAATATTTATTCTCTTCATAATTTTTAGCTTGAGGGGTAAAGTACTTGATTAAAATATTTTTCCAGTGGTCAACTATTAATAACTTTTCTGTGCCTTAATTTGCTCAATTTTAGCTGCATATACAAGTTACCTAGAGAGTGTTAAAAACACAAGTGACAGAACACTACCCCCATTTCAGTTCTTCCTTCTCTAGTTTCACATGAACAAACTCTCATACAGTATGTAGACTTCTGTCTGTGTTGTTCACTTACTCTAATGCCTGTAAGATTTATCCACGTGAAACTACACATACCAAAAAAAAAGCAGCAAGATTTAATGATGGTCACAGAGAACACATAATTACCTACAAATTCATGGTAATTTGGCCCACCACACACTGATTAAAAGCAAAAATAGATTTCAGAAGATTATAGAAAATGACTTCAAAAGACTAAAAGAATGTAATAACTGGAAAGTAGAATTATGTAGCTAGAAAAATTTCATTCAGGAATGAGGGTAAAATAAAGAAAACTTTAGATGAACATATAACAGAGAAGTTAGCACCAAAAGACTCTCAAGAAAGTGCTGAATTGTGTACCTGAGAAAGAAAGAACTTCAGCCAAGAAGGATAAACTGTGGCAAACAAAAAAAGTAAGTCTTATGATAAGACATACATGGCCAACCAAAGATCTATGATTATACATCATGTCGATTTTAAACATCTCTTCTTCTTCTTCTCCCTCTCCTTCTCCTTCCCCTTCTTCTTCTTCTTTCTTCTTGCCGCTAATGATTCCCCATGAACTTTTTGCTTTGTTTTGTTTGTTTGTTTATTTTGAGAAAATAACACTTTGATAAAGAGTTCTACTTAGTAATATATCTGTCTCAAGATAATGATTGTAATAACCTTCATACATCTTAGCTAAAGAGCCTCTCAGGATTGAAATGAGCAACACCATTCTGGACATCATAAGGAAGGATAATAGGCATTATATAAAAATGCTTCTTCCTTTTGAAAATTTTTTAACATATCTGTACTCAGCATAGTGAATATAGAATAATCTTTATAGATCTGAAGAAAATATCATGAGACTATAAAATATGTAGTCATATCATTTAAATGGCCAAATGTTGCTAATAAACTCAAACTGAATATTTTTTTATTATATATAAAACATATGATCTCAAGGTTTTAAATGTTTAAGATTTCAGGGAGGTACACTAGGCTTTTATCCGTTGAAAACATTAAGAGATTTTTTTTGACACATGAAAAATGAATAAAATTCATCATCACACATTTTGTTAAGCAAATTTAATCATCATATTTAGTCATCATATATCAGAAAGAGTTGATAATAAAGTAAGATTTCCTTAAGAGGGGGGAAGGAGAAACAATGTAGGAATAAACTGAAAAATAATTGCAGCATTTTAGAATAAATTCCAAAGTGTTGTCAAAATAGTCCCCAAAAAGACACAGTTCAAAGTCAGATTTTCTCATAGCCTCCTCTTCTTTTTTTTTTCCTTTCCTCTGCCCCATGACCCAAACCCTACTCTTCTTTTATTAATCTGGTTTCCAAATATGTTCAGATTGATATCTTCTATAATGGCAAGATTCAGATAGTTATGACAGTTGAAACTTTGAAATACACTGTTTGACAGTCATATTATTCAAATTATTAATTTCAAACAGTCTAACAAGATTCAAATGTCAAGTAATCAAATTCAAATATTTACCACTACTTGGTAAATATTTCTAAAGTGCATAGAAAATCTAAACTTATATCTGTTTAAACTTATAATTATGTTTAAATAAGTTACTTTCTACAGAAAAATCTTAGTTTTCTGATTATTAAAAGAGGGCCTTAATAAAAAGACCTTACATTCTAAGATAATACAATGTTTTGTTCAGATATTTCTCACCAACAAAAATGATTTACTTAGAGGCTTTGAAAAACTGAAAACTTTAAGGAACCTGTCCCAAATCCTTTTGGTTCTTACCCCATAGATAATGGGGTTCACCATGGGTGGGACAAGAAGATAGATGTTGGCCACAAATATGTGAAAATGGGGAGCCACATGGTGCCCAAACCTGTGGGTGAGAAACGAGAAGAAGGCTGGAGTATAGGATACTAAGATGACACAGACATGGGAGCCACAGGTGCCCAAAGATTTGAGCCGGGCATCTTTGGATGGGAGCTGGAAGACAGTGTGGAGTATGAGGACATAAGAATAAATGATCAATATAAAGTCTACCACCCCAGTAAGGAAGGCAACAATGAGGCTGTAGGCTCTGCGGAATTTTGTCTCAGCACAGGCAATCCTGATGAGGGCCATGAACTCACAGTAGGTGTGAGAAATGATATGGGTTCTGCAGTAGGGAAGCCAGTGTAGTAGGAAAGAGTGAGGACTGAGAAGTGCTATGCCCCTGAGAACAATAGCTAGGCCCACTCTCCCAATTACAGCGCGTGTCAGAATAGCTGAATGTCTTAATGGATTGCAAATGGCCACATATCGGTCAAAAGCCATGGCCAGGAAGAAGCCAGATTCCATGGTGGAGCAAGAGTGAATCAGGAACACGAGTGAGGCAGGTTTCAAAGCGAATCTCTCCATCATGGAACCAGAAGAGACTGAGAAGTTTGGGCACAGCTGTAGAACACACAACAAGATCAACTACAGCCAGCATGCATAGGAAGAGGTACATTGGCTCATGGAGGCTGGGCTCTGTCTTGATGATAAACAGAAGAGAGCCGTTTCCCAGTAGGGCCAACAGGTAGACCACACAAAAGGGGATGGAGATCCAGATGTGAGCAGCTTCCAACCCAGGAATGCCAATAAGAATAAAGGTTGATGGACGGGCATTGGTGTTATTGTATGCTGACATAACAAGGGTCAAATGTTTTTACTTTCTCTTCATAAATTTTTCCTCAAAAGCAAACAAAAAAATAATTAATATATTTTGAAATCTGGTGGGTTAAGAAAGTTAAAGTAGAGGGAACTGTAGGTCATGGAGAAATTACAATGTCTATAAAAATTTAGATAGAAATTATTTAATTATTTGACAGAGAGTCGTATATTATTACAGAGTTACTCTACCACAAAAAGGGTACTGTTAGAACAACATTTTGAAAATCGTCTTCGTCCTCTAATAGTTCTTTTTGTTTATGTGTTTGTTTTGTTTTCTTCTTTTTAGAAAAACAATTGATAATGTTCATCAGACACTCTCTTTACTATTACAGATATTTGTAGATTATAGGATCTCTATGATCAGGAAAAATAACCCTTAAGTCAGAGTACAATGCTGTCTGGTTTGGAATATGTATAGCAGACTGGACCTCAATGTTGAACTGAAATTATGAAACATAATTTAGCTTCTTAATTTGTTTGAAATTTCATACCCAAAGTTACTGCTTAATTTGGCTATTTGACCTTCAGTGTCTGTAGGGGATAGATATTCCCTTTTAAACATAAAAACAGCTATATGTGTCAAGAAAGCCTTGGAAAGTCTAAGGAATATTATTTTTGAATTAGGACATATACTGGAGAAAATAGGAGTGTAGAAAAAATAAGATTATTTAACACTTATATAATAATACAATAAGTAACATTTCTAAGTTAGTTAGTCACTGATTATGACTCAGGTATTTTCCTGGGAACATTTTATGTATTAACTCATATAAATTTTATTCACCTTTTTAGATAAGGAAAGTTTAAGTAACTTGTACAAGGTTATATAGCAGGTAAGTGATAGACCTAGTTTCTAGCTCAGACACTGATTCTGGAACCCCCATATGCAATTAAAAGGATGAATTGCCATAATTAAGTGACAGTCTATACTTGTGAAGATACAGAGGATGGGAATGATTCTGTATATAATACTAGCAAATACAATCACCATTAATTTGAATATGACTACTTCTTGAAAGCTCTCCCCCTCACCATTTGTAAATGCCATAAAGAAGCTTGCCCAAATTATAGCCTTCTCTTATTAGTTAACCTGTCCCCAATGCACTTACACAAAGCAAAAGAGCTCTTACCTGAAAAAGACAATTAACATAACCAGACTTTCTCCATGTTACCCTGTTCTAATTAAAATTAGATTTATGTATATATCCTTGGGCTAATGCATTTTAACGTATTTCCCTTTTTTCCTTAAAAAACATTTTCTGTGCTTTTATCTATATTTGTGTTCCTATCAGCATTCTCATACTCCTCATTCACTTTTACCTTCACTCTTTCTATTTAACTTTTCCTTTACACAATATAGATACATTTCCCCAATGGGAAATAGGTAGAGAATTTAGGTAAAGAAAAGATTAACAATGATATTAATGCAAGTGTCCAAATACTTAAAATAGGTCTTACTTGCAATCAGGAAATTAAAAATTAAAATGAATATGACACAAATTATGCATTGTATTTAACAAATAAAATAACAAGATTGATTATAGCAAGAGTAAGTGAAGCTTGAGTTAAAAATAAACTCAAGAATAATTGGTAGGAGTGTAAATTGGCACAACTTTTAGAGTAAGATTCGTAGTAACCATTATTATTATTAAAAATCATATTTCTGGCAAAAATAATTGACATCTTAGGTAATATTTTACATATATATATCAAAATATATACAGTGATTCTCATTGGAAAACTGCCTATATTAGAATAAATATTTAATCACTCAAAATGTCCACAAATAAAATAATAGTTAAAGTGATAATTCAAAGAAAAGAGAGAGAGAGACAAAAGCATCAAGTCAAATATAAGGGAATCTCCTAGATTCTTAGCAGACTTCTCAGCAGAAACTTTACAGGCAAGGAGAGAATAGAATGGTATATTTGAAGTGATGGAAGGAAAAAAAGCCAGATAAAAGGACTACATTTGGCAAATCTATCCTTCAGAAATGAAGGAGAAATAATGTCTTTCTGAGACAAGCAAAATCTTAGAAAATTTATCCCTGGGCAAGTCCTATAAGAAATACTCAGAGGAGTCCTGGATCTGGAAGTAAAAAGATGGTATCTACCAACATGAAAACACATAAAAGTATAAAAATCAATGGTTGAGCAAACATACAAATGAGTATGAGAAAATAAGCAAACATTATTAGCCCAGAAAACCACCAAACTGCCAAGTTAAACAGTAAGAGATGAAGAAAGAAACAAAGGTTATAAAAACAATCAGAAACAAAAAAATTACTGAAGTAAGCCCTCACCTATCAATAACAACCTTGAATGAGAGTGATCTAAATTCTGTCCCCCATCAAAAATATAAAATGGATAAGTGGATAAAAAGTAAAACCCAACTGTGCTGATTACAAGAAACTTACTTTACCTAAGTACACGATAAACTGAAAGTGAAGAGATGGAAAAAGATATTCCACACAAACAAAACCAATAGTATGTGGCAGTACCTGCACTTAGACAAAATAGATTTTAGTCAAAAAAAAATATAAGAGAAAAAGAAGGTATTTATATTATAATAAGAAGACCAATTGAGTAAGGGGATATAACAAATATATAGATAGATTAGATATATACTTAACACTGGAGCATCCAGATATATAAAGGAAATATTACTAAAGCTAAAGAGAGACATAGACAGCAATGTAACAATAGTTGGGGATTTCAGTAACCTACTGTCAGCAATGGAGAGATCATCTAGACAGAAATCAACAAAGAAACAATGAACTTAAACCAAATGTACAGAACATTTCATCTAGTAGAAGTAGAATACATATTTTCTTCAGCACATGGAGCATATCCTAGCATAGACCACACATTAGGTGACAAAACAAGTCTCAATAATTATTTTAAAAATTAAAACCATATTAAGTTATATACCCAAATAGTTATCAAGTATGTACTTAGATCATAATGGAATAAAACTAAAATTAATAAAAAGAAACTTTAGAAACTGTATAAATACATGAAAATAAGACAACATGCACCTGAAAGACCATTGGTTACATAAAGAAATTAAGAATGAAATTAAAAATTTTCTGAGAATAAATGAAAATAGAATATGAACATATAGATAGAGAGACAATATAGTAGAACATATATAGATAGAAAATAGAGCAATATACCAAAACCTATTGGTTACAGCAAAAGCAGTTCTAAGAGGGAAGTTAATAGCCGTATACACCCACATCAAAAAATAGAAAGATTTCAAATAAGCAGCCTAATCATGCACCTCAAGATCTAGAAAAGTAAGACCAAACAAAACAAAAAATTAGTAGATGAAAATAAACAATAAAAATGAGAGCAGAACAAAACAAAATAGAGACAAAACAAATATAAAAATAAATGAAACAAAAATTGTTTATTTGAAAAATTAACAAAATAGGCAAACCATTATATCAAATGGAATCCAATAGCACATCAAAAGATAATACACCATGATCAAGTGGTATTTATCCTAAGGATGTAAAAATGGTTCAACATAAGCAAATCAATTAATATGATTCATCCAGTCAAGAGAATAAAGGGAAAAAAACCCTGTGATTATCTCAACAGACACAGGAAAAGCATTTCGTAAAACTCAACATCCGTTACAAAACACTAATGAAAAAAACTGAATAAGACACACAAGAAAAAAATGGAAGGCCATCTTATGCTCAAGAATTGAAAGAATTATTATTAGTAAAATGACCATAATACCCATAGCAATCTGCAGACTCAGTACAATTCCTATCAAAACATCAATGATGTTATTCACATAAATTAAAAAGTAAAATAAAATCCATGTGGAATCACAGAAGACCCTAAAAAGTCAAGACATCACTGAGAAAAAGGAACAAAACCAGAGACATTAGAGTCCCTGGCTTCAAAATAATCTATAAAATTATAGTAACAAAAGCAGCATGGCACTGGCATGAAAACAAATCCATATACCAATGGGACAGAATAGAGGACCCAGAAATAATCCATGTTATTTATAGCCAACTTATTTTCCACAATGATGTCAAGAACAAACACTGGGGAAAGGACACCCTCTTCAATAAATGATGCTGGAAAAAACCAGATATCTGTATGCATAGTACTAAGAGTAGACCTTTGTCTCCCACTAAATACAAAAATTAACTAAAAATGAATTAAAGATTTAAGTGTAACACTTGAAACTATACAACTACAAGAGTAAAACATAGGCGGAATCCTTCAGAACACTGGTCTCGGCCAGGATTTTATGGCTAAGACTACAAAAACATAGGTAACAAAACAAAAATAGGCAAATGGGACTAAAACTAAAAAGCTTCTGCATAGCAAAGGAAACAATCATCAGGATGAAGAGAAAACTTGTAGGATGGGAGGAAATATTTGCAAACTATTCATCCAACAAGGGACTAATATCCAGAATATGTAAGGAACTCGAACAAATTAACAGGAAAAAAATAATCTGATTTAAAAATGGGCAAAATGGCTGAATAGACATTTCTCAAAAGAAGACATACGAATGACCAACAACTATATAAAAAAAGTTCAACATCACTAATAATCAGATAAGTGCAAATCAAAATTACAATGAGCTATCATTTCACCCTGTTAGAATGGCAATTGCCAAAAAGACAAAACATAATGAATGCTGGCAGGAAGGTGGAGGACAGGGAACTCTCACAAAATGTTTGCAGGAATGTAAATTGGTACAGCCATTATGGAAAAGAGTACAAGTGTTTATCAAAAAACTAAAACTAGAACCACCATATGATCCAGCAATTCCATTAGTAGTTATTTATCCAAAGAAAATAAAATCACTGTATAGAAAAGACATCTGCACATCCATGTTTATTGCAGCACTATTCACAATAATCAAGATATGGGATTAACCTAAATTTCCATCAATAGATGGATGGATAATAAAAATGTGGTATACACACACAATGGAATATTATTCATTGTGCTGTAAAAAACAATAAAATTCTGTCATTGTGGTACCATAGATGAACCTGGAGGACACTGTAAGTCAGGCACAGAAAAATTAATACTACATGTTCTCCCTCATGCGGTAGCCAAATAATAATAAAAAGACCTCATATAAGCAGAGAATAGAATTCTGGTTATTACACTCTGGGATAGATATGGGGAAGGGAAGGATAAAGAGGAGCTTGTTAATGGATACAAAATTACAATTATATAAGAGGAAAAAGTACTAGTGTTCTATAGCATTGTAGGGTCAATGTAGTTAACAATAACTTATTGTTCGAAAAGCTAGAAAATAGGATTTTAAATGTTCTCAACACAAGTAATAAATATTTGAGATGATGAATATTCTAACTTGATCATTACACATTATAAACGTATCAAAATAGCATTCTGTGTTTTAGAAATATATACAATTATTACATGTAAAGTAAAAATAAAATAAAAAAGTGTTGTTAAAAGATATGTGGTACTTTTATAGTATACTATACTCAGCAGCACTTAACATTAATATGACATTATATAAACAGATATGAAAGCTATTCAAATAAAAATGAGCAGAATTTAATTGCTTTCATTCATATTGAAATATACAAAAAATTCAAACCTTCAGGTATGTATTTAATTTAATCGCATTTGTACTGAAAATTTCATAAACTCAAAAAACAATCTAAAACAATACATACCCAATTTAGTAGGAGTGTAAAATGAGTGATAAATGGAAATGAGCATAGAGTGCAATTTAGACATATAACTGGTTTGACTTACTTAACAGTCAATGTATTCAATGTATGTATGTATTACTTAGAGTGTTTAATGTAAGTATATGAACAATGCAATGTTACCATTGTATTTATTTTAAAAATACAAACTAGGAGTTTACAAGTAAGATATGGACTCCCTTTTCTTGTAAAATATTCAAAAATCTTTCTAACCATTCAAAATACCTTTCCCCATATCTCTCTGCATAGAGAACTGGTCATCTACTCAATTTATGAAAATGATCACCCTGTGTCTTTGTTCTTCATAATATTTCTCACACATAAAATCCCTTAATAAGCTGAGTGTGGTGGCACGCACCTGTAGTCACAGCTACTCAAAAGCCAAGGTGGGAGGATCACTTGAGCACAGGAGTTCGAGGCTACAGTGAGTTATGTTTGCACCACTTGCACTGCAGTCTGGGAGACACAGCGAGATCTTATCCTAAAAAAATTAAAATAAAATAAAACCCTTAATAATTGTAATCAGAATTGTAGAAAACTCTACTCACATATCAAAACCTCTGAGATTATTTTTCTAACTACCTCAAGCCACCTTTAACACCCCTTCTTGGTGTCCCTGTGATATTTGCGCTTACCCATCTTCTATATTTTGTCATATTGTATTCTACATTTCTGCATACTTATCTTCCTTATAATACTGAAAATTTTTATTTGACAGAAATATTGTCTTTCCACATATTTGCTTGTTGTTCCACTGAATGAATAAAGAAAAAGAGGAAAGGGAAATGTAAGGAAATATAATTATTTTCTGGTAAATTGTTTCAACATAAATTGAAGACAACTGGTTTGAAATTACTTTGAATCAGTATAAATTTATTATAGTCTACACTAATCCCAAACACTGTATTGCATTAACAATTTTCTGATTATCATGTTAAGTTTTGAGACATACTCTGGAATCAGTCTCCAACAAAATTTAATTGTCAGCATTTTATTCCTAGTTTAACTACATAATGAAGAAAATGAGGGAATGAAGGGAAGGAAAGTCACATATGCTTTTGAGGAGGAATAATATAATGGTTTATGATGTCTCTGGCTAAATCTTACATCCTGTATGCATCTCTTCACAAAAATAATGTAAAACAACATGAATTGCTGCTAACCACTATGTTAGTTGCATTGTTGACATTATCCCTTAAGGAAGGTTTTGGGTAGGTAATCATATTTATGACACAAATAAGAAAATAAGCTAAGAATGTTCAATTGGTTTGCTCAAAGCTCTTCTACCATGAACTTATGGAGCTGGAATTTGAACCCAAGTATAAGTATAAAGTTTGTGATCTTTACATTAAACCTTAGAAGATGTATACCCCACAGTGCTTTTAAATGTAAAATGACATAATGCATTGCAGAGTGCTTTGAGCTTCAGGAGACATTGCATTAATGTAATGGATTTCTAAAGAATATAGGGCTGATACATCTACACTTCCATTATTTTTGTCATCAGCCTTCATTTGATGCACTTAACTAAGTAGAAAAGCCCGTACTCAAACATACCCTAAATGAAAGTTACAGTCTGGTCTCAACTCATAACAAAGTAGAGATTCCACTGCTTGTGATATAGATGCACCCTCTTCCAAGCCCACAAGCCCAAATGGTAGCAGCTGACCCAAGAAATCTTAAACAAGCCTGTTTTTCAGAGCCTGTCCGCTCTGAATAGAGTCCTGAAACCTTCCATCGGCCTATTGCAGGCCTAGCTTATGACATAAAAGAGCAAGTGAGCACCGCTTTACCTCACTAGCGGTCCCATGCATATCAGGATGAAAATCCACCTGGCCCGAGGGAGCCACCTGTTCTCTTATGACCTACAGCTTTTCCAAATCAGCTCAGTTATAGATAGTTTCCAGGTGTCTAAGGCCCCATGGTCTTGGAGTGGTGATGGCCTCCCCATAGTGTCAGAGAAAGAAGCCTTTGGGGGTAACTCTTTAGAGCTAATACCTTAATAAGAGGACAATTAAGAAGGAGGAAGCATTGGGTCCTCAACTGTCTCTGGGGACTGTCTCTCAGCAGGATTGCTTGAATGTCAGAATTGTTGGTTCTTAAAATTATCGTATGTATATATTGAGAAAAGAAAGATGATGCCTCAGTTCTTTGTTTTAAATAACGCTTTTTATTTTTAATATAGACAAATATTAAAACACTGGCATCATTCATGTTACATTAATATTAGGTTTAATTTTATTTCATAATTTTCATATTTATGTTAAATATTTAAAACATATTAGACTTTACAAGTTTATTGCATAATCCAAGCTTTTTGTTGTGATATACACTCTATTTCCTTCATGATTCTTTAGAATAAATGTTATAGAAATTAATTATATGAAATACATCAAAATATAATTTTCAGCTGAGGTTGAACAAGGAAGCAATGATTTCTAGTTTCAGCTTTTATGCTATTAACAAATGTCCTTTTTTACTTAGTGCAACCTTTTTCTCATGTTTTGCTTCTTATTGATGATCCCACTGTTTAAATGGCCCTGAAGTGTAATGCTGAAGTGCTATCAAGTTTTTCCAATTGCAAGGAGGCCATCTTGTGCCTTATGGAGAAAATAACGTTGCTAGGTAAGCTTCATCCAAAAATGAGTTATAGTGCTGTTGGTTGTGAGTTCAAAGCTGATGAACAACAATACAGTTTCCTTTGAAAAAGAAGGAAGTTTATCTAGCTGTATATGATGTCACTTTGGAAAATGCTTCAGTAGCATTTATGATGTGTGATAAAGGTGTGGAAAAATGTGTGTTAAATAAAATTTATGAGAAGCCATTGTTCTGAAGTGAGCTCCTGCACTAGGTCCCAACAAACTAAACCAAAATGGAGTCACTTGTGCTAGGTACCATGTAATCAAACAGAAACTCTAAAGGATCACGAGGTCAGGAGATCGAGACCATCCTGGCTAACACGGTGAAACCCCGTCTCTACTAAAAATACAAAAAATTAGCCGGGCGTGGTAGCGGGCGCCTGTAGTCCCAGCTACTCGGGAGGCTGAGGCAGGAGAATGGCGTGAACCCGGGAGGCGGAGCTTGCAGTGAGCCGAGATCGCGCCACTGCACTCCAGCCTGGGCGACAGAGCGAGACTCCGTCTCAAAAAAAAAAAAAAAAAAAAAAAGAATCACAGAAATCCCCAACCAGACCAGTTTTTCCTAAAAATAAGATAGTCACAGGAAACAATCAG
The DNA here is from genome assembly GCF_000001405.40 of Homo sapiens. Taxonomy (NCBI): domain Eukaryota; kingdom Metazoa; phylum Chordata; class Mammalia; order Primates; family Hominidae; genus Homo; species Homo sapiens. The sequence goes on from NC_000011.10 coordinate 5,086,051, forward strand.
AAAAGGCCCAGTCTGTGCTGGCATGATTAATAAATACCCTCTGCTTTAACTCTTAGGAAGAAATTAAAAGTAACTTAATATTGACCAATTTTCATTTTGTGTTATTCTGTTTCCTTGTTCCTGCTCAACCCTCAACCTGGTTTGCAAAAAACAACTGTTACACCCTATCCAATGGAACTCCTTTTACTTCTTTTCTTTTCTTTTTTTGAGATGGAGTCTCACTCTGTCGCCCAGCCTGGAGTGCAGTGGTGTGATCTCGGTTCACTGCATACTCCACCTTTGGAGTTCAAGTGAGTCTCTGCCTCAGCATCCTGACTAGCTGGGACTACAGGCGTGCTAATTTTTGTATTTTTTGTAGAGATGGGTTTTTGCCATGTTGGCCAGGCTGTTCTTGAACTCTTGGCCTCAAGTGATCTACCCGCCTCAGCTTCCCAAAGTGCAGGGATTACAGGCATGAGCCACCTTACCAGGCATCCTTCTATTTTTAAATGGGATGCCGCATGCTTCACAACTCATTAATAAAAGCCATTTTGATCTTTAAATTTGTTGAAATTAGGTTTTTTAATGGAGGAAAAAAAGGCTAAACTTGTGGATTAATGAGATGTAAACTAATAAAAAAAATAAGTGTAGGCAACAGCATTGTTGTGAGGCTGAAAGCCAAAGAAATTTATATTAAAGTTACCCAGGGTAAGAAAAATGTCAAAATCTCCTTGGCTGGTGTTGGCTGGCATATACGTTTGAAAAGACGATAAGGCATGAAAAAGTTTAATCTTGCAACTGAGGTAGGTTCTGCATATCAGGAAGCTACAGAATTTTTTAAATGCCTGCTAAGGGTTATACAGGAAAATAATTACGTGAAAGAGCAGGTTTTCAATGCTGATGAGACTGGCTTATTATACAAGGACACTACCAAGTAGACCTTTATAATGCAAATGGCTTCCAAATCCCCTGGCTTTAAATTATTAAAAAGCTGTGCAATTACTTACTTTTAAGAACTACATATTAAATAATATGTTTTTAAACAGCACTACCCACAAAACAAGATTATGTGTTGATTGACTGACAAAAATATTGTGACCAGCAGCTTGTAGAAAGCTAACCTTAGGAGGAGTAATGAATGGTTCCATATTTGTTAATTCCGTGTTCATGGCAATGGTTATGAAGTAGTCTTGTTTTCTGAGGTGTTATCCAGAGTTCTTTGTCTCAAGATCATGAAAAATAAGGAGTGTGGACACCAAGGGTGAGGTTGGAGCGGAAGTTTAATAAATGAAAGAGGAAAGCTCTCTGCAGCTGAGAGGGGGTCCAAGAGGGTTGCTGTTTCACAGTTGAATACAATTGTTTTTATAAGAATCTTCCCTTATCTGTGTAGCTGCCTGTGTAACTTCCCTTATCTGCACAGCTGCGGGCATGTCTTCTCTAAAAAAGAGAGAAATATGCTCAACAGAGCTCACCGTGTACATGTCTGTAAAAAGGGAGGAAAGAAGTTTTTCTTCCCTGGAGCCCGAGGTATTACACAAAGGGCAGAGACGTTTCTATGTTGGGCCTTACGCCCTTATCTGTGTCTGTAGCTTTATTTTTCCCCAGGCTGCTCTTTTGTTTGAAAGAATTTCACTAAGTACCTGCCCTAATTCTGTCTACCTAGCTTTTTTTTTTCTCCTCTCTCAGTTACACAACATAGCTACTGAAAAGAATGAGAATTGACTCTCTGTGTGTGTGTGTGTGTGTGTGTGTGTGTGTGTGTGTGTGTGTACACATATATATCTTTGGCCAGGCTCACTCTCTGTTACTTTTTTTTTTAATTGACAAATAAAAATGGTGTATCTTCATGGTGCACAACATGATGTACTATATATATATATGTAAATATGTTGTGGAATAGATGTATTAGGCTACACTTCTTCACATGTTAATCATTTTGTGGATATGGGAACACCTAAACTATACTCACTTAGCAATTTTCAAATATATATTATATCGTCAGCTGTAGTCATAATGATGTACAACAGATCTCTTGCACTTATTCTTCCTACGTAACAGAGATTGTGTCCTTAATGAGATCTCTCCAGTTCCCCACCTCTTAGCCTCTTGTAACCATCATTTTTACTCATTTTATTTTCTGTTTCTATGAGTTTGACTTTTTTAGATTCCACATACATATGAATGAGATCACATATCATTTGCTCTTATATGAATTAATTGTTTTACTTAAAAATGACCTCCATATTTATACATGCTGTTACGAATGACAAACTTCTTTCTTTTTTAAGCCTAAGTAGTATCCCATTGCATATATATCTGCCTCATTTTGTTTGCACCCTCTTTCACCTGTGAAGAAACTCTTGGGCTGAGGGGATCTCTCTTGGCATTGCACTGTGCCAGGTAGGGAGGAGGGTAACTTGGGCAAGGGAAGCTTTTCCTTTTATCTTCTTCAATGTGCCTTTTCTCATTCTCTGCTCCACTACAGGGCTGCAATTTCTCTCTTACATTCCAGATCTCTCACAAAGATATTTTTGTCCATGGACAGTTATTAAATTTGTGATTTTGTGAGGGAGGAGTACCAGGACTGTCTATTCTTCCATTTTGCTGACCTAAACCTAAATTATTTGTCATCATCTCCTTAGAAGCCAAAGCTCCCTAATAGCTCTCTCTTCCAGATTCAAGGTTAACATTTTTCATGCCTTATTGTTTTTTCAAACATGTGAGTCAGCCAACACCAGCTAAGAAGACTTTGACATTTCTCTTACCCTTGGTAACTGAAATGTAAATTTCTTTGGCTTTCAGCCTCACAATAATGTCATCCCTTATACTTGTTTTTTTATTAGTTGACATTTCATCAATCCATACATTTAGCCTTTTATTTCTGTTAAAAATTTTTCAACCAATTTAGTCTAAAGATCTAAATGATGTTTATTAATGATTCATGAATCATGAGTCAGGGCCAGATTGTAAACTAGAATCCTTAGAGACATTGTGTCTTTAACAAAACTGGCTCTGGGGGATTTTCTATTGAAAGCTCTTTTCAGGCAAGGAGTGGTGCCCTCATAAAGCCTTTGCCTATTGAAACAACACAGGCAACACAGATTTTATCCTGGAGCTAAGCCTGGTGAGTCTTCCCTGTCTCCCAGCTCACAGGTGCATTTTTAGGACACAGTGATAGACGAAGAGAAAGAGGAGAATAGAAGGGAGGAAGAGAAGACAAAAGCTTTGAGGAAAGAAGACTAAGGATGAAGCTTAAAGAATAAGAAGAATCAAGGCTCAGAAGGGTCATATAATACTAGGAGAAATTTTGGATTTCAGCCTAAATTGATTTGGGTTACATTTTAGAAAAAATAAGTCTTTTCACATCTAAAGAAATAATAGCATAGTATCTTTCGAATATGGTCTAAGTGTCTTAAAATAAATATCTATTTAAAACTGATTACATATTTAGGGTTATTTATTATCTCTATTTTATGGATGTAGGAAATGAGATATAGAGATGTTAAATTATGTCTGCAAAGTCACATAGCTAACAGGTAATGTTCATTTGCTTTGACTACAGAATGAATTAATTATGAAGCTGGGTTTCAACACTCTTATTCTGACTGCAGAGTTCACACTTCTAAGCACTGCAAAATACTGTGTTATTATCAACTGAAGACACAATAATGGTTTGAACTAGTCCCGATAGGATGGAGCCAAATTTATTGTTTTTAAAGATACTAGAGATGTAGACTCAATAGTATTTTTAATACTATGGAGAGGATACACCTTAGATTTTTTATCTAGCCAGTCCACTGAATGATAATGACATAAAAAGATTACACAATTTCATTGCTCTGTGTGTCTTCTGACTATTTCTATGTGGTATTCATGTCACTGTCTACTTAACAAACTATTCAGACCCTGTCTTACTATAGAAATAATTATCTGAGTTGACAGATATAATTTCCCCATTATTTTATTTGCAAACACCGAATACAATGTCCTCTACCTCTCTTACAAAAAACACACAAATATATAGCTTATTTATTTCCTTTAATGATCAGCTTTGCACTTATTAGCTAAAGTAATTTTTTTATTTACTGAGATTCTATTACATATGAGAAGTTTGAAAAGGAAAAATACAGTTTTTGTAGCTTTCTGAGACTATTGCCTGTATTTCTGTTCTTCAGAGATGTTATTCAGGAATACAGAAAGTTTAATTGAATTAGAAAAAAACCCACTGGCATATACAGTGATAAATCACACACACACACAAAAGTGTTTTTTTGTTTGTTTGTTTGTTTGTTTTGTTTTGTTTTGAGATGGAGTCTCACTCTATTGCCCGGGCTGGAGTGCAGTGGGGCTATCTCGGCTCACTGCAAGCTCTGCCTCCCGGGTTCACGCCATTCTCCTGCCTCAGCCTCCCGAGTAGCTGGGACTACAGGCGCCCACCACCACACCCGGCTAATTTTTTGTGTTTTTAGTAGAGAAGGGGTTTCACCCTGTTAGCCAGGATGGTCTCGATCTCCTGACCTCGTGATCCACCTGCCTTGTCCTCCCAAAGTGCTGGGATTACAGCCTTGAGCCACCACGCCCAGCCAAAAAAATGCTTTTATAATTGAATCCTACTTTCACACCTTTTGTTGTCCATGTCACACCTTCTTATTCACTGTTCAATTACAAGGTCAAAACATTATACAAGAAAGACTGTTCTACACATTCCACATTGCGTCTCATGCAAATAACATCAACTTTTCTTAGCCTTTCCTCTTTTCAAATGTTTACCATTTCCTTCTAGGAGTTCCCTATTTCCCCATCCATATTACAGTGCTCCTCCCATCACCTGTTTATCATGGAACCTCCTCTTCTTGGCTTTGCTTCTCTCATGTTAATGTTTAGCCCACATCCTGATTGTCTTCTGGAAACTATAGTCATAATTAGTATTGCTGCTCTGGAATCCTCCAATGATAAAAAATGAACAAAAGACTTTTTACTATATAATAATTATACTTAATGAATGATTGAATGCCTTGAAAATACTCCTCTAACAAATGCCATAAGGTACATGAAAATATGTAAAAACAATTTAGGTAGCTTTAGAAATGATATATATATATTTTTTTTTTACTTCTAATAACTCAATGCTCAGATTGTATTTTTCTCTTTCTAGTCTTTTCTTCAACATGTTTTTCATCTATCTTAAACACTCAAAATCTAAGTGTCTCAGATTTAAAATAAAGATACTGATATCTCTTATTCAGACGCATGTGTGTTTAAAAGAGATTACCTGTGTTACTGTGTGTGAGAGGAGGGGAAGTTTGGCAAATATGACTCAAATAAGATACAAATCATCTCTTCCTTATTTCTACTCTCTTTCCATTTTAATTCATTATTTTCCTACTTCCTTTTTCTGATTCTATAATTATAGATATTTCATGCATATAGTTTGATGAGTCCTTAAACTAGTTGAGGCTCAGACACTTTGTAAAATATGGTTAAATATGCTCTCCCATATGTTTACAGAGATGATATCTGCTATTTGCACAGATTCTAACATAGAATTTCAAGTAGGAAACAGTACATTAATAAATGGTAGTTGATGCTGCTGTTTTACTACATTTACTTCATTATTGTGTAATAATGATGAATGAATAATAATAAATGGGCCAAGTTTAATTCTTTAAAAACATGGATAGAACTAGAGGACATTATGTAAACTGAAGTAAGCTAAGCACAGAAAGACAAATGTCTCCTGTTCTCATTAATATGTTGTATCTAAAACAAAATTGATCTCATGCAAATAATGAGTAGAATGATGGTTACCAGAGGTGGGGAAGTGTGTAAGGGTGAGGGCGGACAAAGGGAGGTTGGTTAATGGGTACAAAAATATAGTTAGATAAAATAAATAAGTTATAGTGTTTAATAGCACAGTAGGGTAATTATAGTTAACAAAAATTTGTAGTATATTTCAAAATAGCCATGAGAGAAGATTTGGAATGTTTCTAACACAAAGAAATGATAAATGTTGGAGATTATGGATATCTTCATTACCCTGATGTGATCATTACACATTTTACACATTACACGTATGTATCAGTATACCACATGTACCCCATAATTATGTGCAACTATTATGTATTAATAAAATTAACCTGCACTGAAAAAATATTTTCAATATTTTAGATTACATCTTAATGAATCTGTGTTTTCATTAACAACTTCTTACCCATTTTGTATGTTAACACCTGTGTGTTGCCATCTAACCAAATGGAACAAATAGAAATCACTATGGGGCCTGACAACTCTATGTATGTCTGAATTGAAAGTAAATTCTGTGTGATGGTAAGAGAAGGTAATAAATGAAATAGGTATTAAGATAAAATTGTAGCATAATATCAGTGATGAGACCATTGCAAACTGATGAGAAGAAAAGCATTAAAACAGAGGAATATGTTATGTCAAACTTTTTATTACCATCCACTGCTTAAATTCATCCAGACCCTTCTCACTGAGAATTCACATTTTCGATTGTTCTTTATGTAGTACATTTCTAATCGTGTGAATTTTTTTGGTTTTCAATTCTGCAGAATTTTACCTGTTTTCCTGCTGATTGGCACACATACAGTCATAAAGATCATGGACTTATGCATTCACAAGCAGGATGTTCCTTCCCAATAACACCCAGTTTCACCCCTCCTCCTTCCTGTTGCTGGGGATCCCAGGGCTAGAAACACTTCACATCTGGATCGGCTTTCCCTTTTGTGCTGTGTACATAATTGCACTCATAGGGCGCTTCACTATTCTACTTGTGATCAAGACTGACAGCAGCCTATACCAGCCCATGTTCTACTTCCTGGCCATGTTGGCCACCATTGACTTGGGCCTTTCAACAGCTACCATCCCTAAGATGCTTGGGATCTTCTGGTTTAGCCTCAGGGAGATTATCTGTGATGCCTGCCTCATCCAGATGTTTTTCATCCACAACTTTACTGGCATGGAGTCAGCAGCCCTCGTGGGAATGGCTTATGACCACTTTGTGGCCATCTGCAACCCGCTACGATATAGCATCATCCTCACCAAAAAGGCTGTTTCTGTGATTGGTCTTGGTGTGTTAGTGAGGTCATTTATGTCTGTTATTCCATTTGTTTTTCTCATTTTGCGGTTGCCCTTCTGTGGGGATCATGTCATTCCCCACACCAACTGTGAGCACATGGGTCTTGCTCATCTGTCTTGTTCCAGTATCAAGATCAATATAATCTATGGCTTGGGTGCTATTTCAATCCTAGTATTCGACATCATAGCCATTGCCCTTTCTTATGTGCAAATACTTCACGCTGTTTTCCATCTTCCTTCCTGTAAAGCCTGACTCAAGTCCCTCAGCACATGTGGTTCACATGTGTGTGTAATCCTTGCCTTCTATACACCAGCCCTCTTTTCCTTTGTGACTCATCGCTTTGGCCAAAATGTGCCCCGCTATATCCATATACTCCTAGCCAATCTCTATGTTGTGGTGCCACCAATGCTCAATCCTGTCATATATGGAGTCAGAACCAAGCAGATCTATGACTGTGTGAAGAAAATATTCTTACAAAAATAAGAAATTGAAAAGAAATAGCATCTAATACATATAAGAAGGACTTTTTGAGCACAGAAATACCTTCCTACAGTAAATTTAAGCTTATTTGACAGCTCCTCCCTGTAAGTATGTTATTGAATTAAGAAAGCTAAAGCCTAAGCTTTGATATTCAATTTATATGATAAATGAATTAAGAAAGCTAAAGCCTAAGCTTTGATATTCAATTTACATGATAAATGACAGTCAATCAGAGTTTTTGTATGTAATTTTTATCAATTATGGCAGTAAATTTAAAGTAGGATTTTAGAAAGCCTGCCGTGTTTTGTGCACTATCCACCTATGTCATTCATGCAGGTGTTTTCATGTTTCTCGCTCCTTTATCTCCAGGCCTGTCTGTATCTGTTTCTCTCTTCTTACTGTGCATGCCATCCTATCTTTCCTTTTTGTTTTTACTTCTTTTTATATCTAGAAATACCAGTCATTTTTATTCCATAATAAAGACTATATTATGATATATTATTATTTTATGAAGATTATTAACATCCAAAATTGGTTCTATGAACTTAATACTGATTTTGGCCATGAAAAGACAGTGAGAAAGTAAATGAAACCACAAACAGATTCATTATAAATTTTTGTAAAAGTTGTTATAAATATATTTAGTTTTTTTATGGACCAAACCGTGATTTAAACATAATTAAGGAACCAGTTATATCCTAGAGAGATCCCTTGTTTTTCCCTCCATAGTTTTATTTGTTTTCTAATTTATTTTTAGATTAATCCTGCAGTTATTTTCTTCTTTTTCCTGCCTTTACTTACATGATTTTAATATTAAAAAATTTTGGGTTTATTCCTAGTTCTGTCTTTAATATATGTTTAATATATGTTCTATCTTTAATGTATGCTTAATGTTCAATGTTCCTTAATTTCTTTATGTTATAAATATGGCCTATTTCATAGATTAAGCATGAAGGGCTTAATTATATACTGTTTCTAAAATAGAATACTGCTCTGCATGTTATCTATAGTAAATACGAAATAGTTGTTCGCCATTACTAGAGTCATCTTATTACTTGCATTACAGTGTTTTTTAAATCCTGATGCTTGACAACATTGTTACAATTAGAGATGTTTATATTCATAAAATTTCATTTTATATCATATAATATTCCCTGAAGTTGGGATCCAGCTAAAGGACAATTAGTGTTAAATGTATACATATATGTATTCATTGTAGACACATACACGTAACTAACATGCAATTAATTTAAAATTTTGTGAAAATTTGATTTCCTTGAAGTTCTTATTGGAGGGAAATTGATAAAAATGCCAATTTTTCATAAGTCCATCGTAAATTAGATTTGTATTTTTCATATATATGTTTTAACGTAACCTCTTAGTCTCTAAAAAGAAATATACATTCAGAAATACTTATTTACAAAATTTATTCTTATCTTGCTACATCTATAATATGAGGAAAGCTGTCTTCACAATATTTTGTAATCTCAGCTCATATTCTTTTTTTGTTTGTTTGTTTGTTTGTTTTTTGTTTTTGAGACAGAGTCTTGCTAAGTCACCCAGGCTGTAGTGCAATCGCATGATATCGGCTCACTGCAACCTCTCCCTCCCGGGTTCAAGCGATTCTCCTGCCTCAGCTTCCCGAGTAGCTGGGATTACAGGCCCCCAGCACCATGCCCGGATAATTTTTGTATTTTTTAGTAGAGACGGGGTTTCACCTTGTTGGTCAGGCTGGTCTCGAACTCGTGACCTCAGGTAATCCACCTGCCTCAGCCTCCCAAAGTGCTGGGATTACAGGTGTGACCCACCACGCCCAGCCTGCTCATATTCTTATAACCTCACTTCTATGTTCCTCTTCTCAACTTTCTATTCCTCCTTTCTTGTTTTTAGGTGATGACTCTATTTGTAAAGTCCTTTTGTCACCAGCCACTTTCAGTCATCTTTTCAGCCAATTTTATTCTGTTAGATATTTTCCTTTCTGTCTCTGCTGCTATTGTCTAAATAGTGTTAATAGTAACTGGCATATGATATTTTGAAATTGACTACATTCTCCATGCCAGATATCTCTCCCAACTTAACACCCTTCTTGATCCTTACTCTGTGGAGATATGCCAATTTTTTGATAAAATCTACAATACAAATATACATAAAGCTTAATATAACAACTTTCAATTGTTGCCCATCATCCTCTCTCCCCTGGATGGTAGGAAACTTGTCATTTATTTATTCCTTCAGTGACTCACAATGTAACTCACATGTCTACTCAATAAATGTCAGCTGAATGAATTGATCTAGTTTAAAATAAGAAATTCATGTGTTCATAATTACTCATCGTATACTACAAGAAAGTTGGTATTAAATGTATCAATTGGTGTAAGTTACAATTGGAAAAAAAGTTTTATGCACAAACAGGCTATAGAGAAAATGCACTGAGAAGTAAAGGACTTAATTCTAAAAGCAGTGATTGAGGGAGTGAGGACACATATTCAATTAATTTATTCATGCAAAATGAAATGTAAATTTGTAGATTACCTTTGGAGAGTGTTTCTAATGTTGTAGAATAATTGTCTTAAAAATGCTTATAACCATTCTCCTGGTTAGTATGCCTTACGTTGCAAATTTTTTAAAAATTGTGTAAGTTTACTTTAACTGTAATGAAATATATTATTTCATATAACAGTAAGCCCAGTGCTGGGCAGGATGCAATACTGATTGTTTTAGCAGCCCATGACGTAATTAAGGATTTGCTTTCTCTCCAGCCTTTTAGAAGTTAAACACTTCTATCAACAAAGATATAGACATCTTCTTTTCATGACTGATTGTCCAGAATTAGGTTGTATGACAATTTCTAAACTTTCCCCTGATAAGGAGGTTGAATTTACCATTACTGTTGTATACGAATCATCTTAGGTAGGATAGGTTTCTGGTAATCAATGTAATATGCCATGCATCAAGTGATTTAGCTTCTCAAAATTTCTTCATGGTTAATTGTAATTTACTCATTCAATATGTAATTATAAAGAGTATATTCAGTGAGAAATATCTTTTCTGAAGATACAAATGTTAAAAGATAAGTATGGAAACTCTTACACAAATAATAAACGTTCAGAAATTTGGCCAGGTGCGGTGGCTCACGCCTGTAATCCCAGCACTTTTAGAGGCCGAGGCTGATGGATCATCTGAGGTCGGGAGTTTGAGACCAGCCTGACCAACATGGAGAAAACCCGTCTCGACTAAAAATACAAAATTAGCCAGGTGTGGTGGCACCTGCCTGTAATCCCAGCTACTCAGGAGGCTGAGGCAGGAGAATCACTTGAAACCGGGAGGCGGACGTTGTTGTGAGCTGAGATCGTGCCATTGCACTCCAGCCTGGGCAACAAGAGCGAAACTACAACTCAAACAAAACAAAACAAAAATAAAACTTCCAGAGATTTACATATAATTATATCTATGTAATCATAGGTATCATATACATATTACAACTTGCAATTTTAAAATGTTGAGAAAATGTACAATATTGTGGAATAATTAAATGAGCATATATTACATATTAAGATGATACACTGATAAAATCTGAGAAAAAGTTTCACTATTTTATATTGAGTGAAAAATAAGAGAAATTAAAAAAATTGACATTCTTTTAAAGGCATAAATGTGTACAAAGATAAAGGGAAAATATTTTAGTGTTAGTGATTAGTGATTTTTATAAATATATTTGTGTGCATTTTATTTTATTATATATTTTTTTTCAAATTGACTAAAATAATAGGTGTTATTATATAATAAAATTATATAAATAAGAAATAAATATAAGTATAAAAGTGAAGTTGGTTGCCTAGAGCAGGGGTCCCCAACCCCTGTGCTGTAGACTCGTAACAGTCCATGGCCTGTTAGGAACCATCCGCACACCTGGAGATACTGTGGTATACTGTAGTCTAAAATGTAACTAATCTTTTTCCTCCATAAATAGTCCCCCTTTCTTTGTAGTGACGTAGTCAATTTGCGTCAATAATTAATCATTTTGTCAACAAATTTTTTATGGGACAACATTGCACACATCACAATATTAGGTACCACAGTACCTATCTATGTTCTATGTAATGGTACACAATGATCTATGTAATGATTTCAGGATTTTGCTCCTTAGTAGATGAGGTATTTCAGCATTATATTGTATAATGTTCCAAATAAAAATAATGTGTGTTATAAATGTGTAAGAAAGAGGGGAGGAAGCAGAAAATGGTGGTGGGAGGCATGAATAAGGTGATCAGGAAGGAATGCATAATCAAGCTTTATAGAAGGATAAGTTAATTTCTCTAGGCGAATAATAGGTGAGTACATTCTAGGACAAGAACAAGAAAATATTAGAAACACATGTCTTTGACTTAGCTTATTTCAGTGCATTTACAATGTGCATTCATTCTAATGAGGCTCTTTACAACACGGTAGAAGCAAATCAAAATTTTTCTTCTGATAGTTCTGTTACCACTTGTGCCATTCTGATTATTTCTGTATTTCCAACCCTCACTCATTCCTTGAGTTAATACTCACTTCAACGCTCTTTATTCTTATGTTATGATTCAAATATAGTTTTGTTTTGTCTTGTTCTCTGTCCTAAAAATTCCACATGAAATCAACCAAATAAAAGATCAAACAGTATATATGATATAGAATATTTTAGGGAGGGTGCTCAAACTTACATTTTTATTTTAGGCTTGATGATTGGACATGTCATTTTGTATGTACCAATTTTATATATTTTTTAAAAAACATTAGCTTTTATTTCTTTTTACACAAATATGAGATGGTTATGAAACACAAACAGTGCCTTGAGATTGAATGCCCATCTGAACATTTATTTTTTGTAAACTTTTTCTGAGGAACTGCACACTTTTGATTACCAGAGTCAGGGAAGTAGGTTTAAGTTATAACCAAATTCTTTTAAAAACAGGTGCCTCCTAAAGTGAGGGAAACACAAATTAATTCACCTTACTTCCTCTCTAAATAACTTCTTTCAGAGTTTCCCTTTTATAATGAGTATAAAGGTGAACAATTTAAAAAAAACTTTATCAAATGACCCAAGCAAAGTGCTTCCTTGTTTCTTTGACTGCAAGTCCTAACTCTAACACTGAAGATTAAAAATCTTAAGAGCACAATTTTATAAGTGTCTGTTTAATCTTTACTCAACAATATTTCTGTTAAATGAGTCTATTTTGTATGTAATGGCAGTTCCGTTGTGTTTGTTCTTTTTTGTTTGTTGCTTGTTATTGTTACATTATTTTGTTTCATCACTTCACAGATAGGATTTAATGAATACATTCCTTTAAAGAATACACACTACTTTATTTATATATTTTACCACTATCAGATATTTGACTTTAAAATTTTTCCCTATTATGAATAAAATCAGTACAAACGTTTTTATATATGTATTTGAGTAAACATAATTACTTATTTCTTTTGAGTATTTACTTAGGAGTAATTACTGGTTTATAGGTGATATAGTTTGGTTGTATCCCCACCCAAAATCTCATCTTCAATTGTAATCCCCATAATCTGCACGTGTCAAGGGCAGGACCAGGTGGCAGTAATTGAATCATGGAGACAGTCTCCCCCATGCCGTTCTCATGATAGTAAGTTCTCACTAGATCTGAGGGTTTTGTAAGTGTCTGGCATTTCCCTTGCTTGTACTCACTCTATCCTGCCACCCTGTGAATAAGGGGCCTGTTTTTCCTTTACCTTCCGCAATGATTGTAAGTTTCCTGAGGCCTCCCCAGCAATGCAGAACTATGAGTCAATTAAAACTCTTTCCTTTATAAATTACCCAGTGTCAGATAGTTCTTTATAGCAGTGCGAAAATGGGCTAATACAATAGGGGGTAGTTAGCCTGAATAGGCTCTTCCAGTTGCCAAACTGTTTAATAGTTATTCTGTATCTTTATGAACACTCAGGATTAGAGGTCTTAATTTTAGCCATACTGAATGGGTTGTAGGGTTGTTACACTGTGGTTTGCATTAGCATTTTTCCTGATGAGTAGTGGTGTAAATTTTTTTCTTCTACTTATTAACTATGTTCTTCTTTTAAGGTTCCAGCTTACGTTTGGCTCTTTTTTTATATTGAGTTGTTTGTCGTTTTTTATAAACTTATAGTAAATTCATTGCAGTATTTTACTGTATTATAAGTACTATAACTGATATATAATATATATCAATTATATTATATATTATATATAATATATACATAATGGAAACATCATATCTCAAGCAGTGGCTTCCTTATTCAATGTCTTAATGAAAATTTTGATAAGCAGAAAACTTGTATTTAAGTATGAGTTTTCATTATTTTCATTTTCCATGATTTGTTTTATGACCAGTTAAAATATTTTCTAATCAAAGGTAAGGTTATACATTGAAGGACCTTCTGTGAATTTTTAAAATAATCACAGAATTTTAATGAATAAGAAGCTGGGAAGCAAAGTGAGATGGCATTTAATTTTTTTTCTTTTTTTTTAGATGGAGTCTAGCTCTGTCACCAAGCTGGAGTGCAGTGGCACGATCTTGGCTTACTGCAACCTCTGCCTCCCAGGTTCAGGCAATTCTCCTGCCTCAGCCTCCCGAGTAGCTGGGGCATTTTAATTTTGCAACATTTTTACTTTTCTCATTCTATTCGAACATTCTGCATTTTGGACCTCATGGAAGGAATAAAAATAGAAGAAAGAGAACAAATATACAGAAACTGTTGGGTTTTGAAATGCCATGGAAGGAATAAAAAATAAAAGAAAGAGAACAAATATATAGAAACTCTTGGGTTTTGAAACCATAGCATAGGAAACCAGATTTAAGTATTTCTCCTATATTACATACATTTTCTTTACAAATTTGATGCTACCCAGTGATACCTAGGGATAGGTTGATGACGTGGGGAAGGATACTTGGAGGAGATGAAGAAAACGTAGATAGTAATGGAATCTGCTTGAGAAAAAAATGTATTTTATGTCGTGTCTTTTTAGGGTAGGCCCAGTGATGGCAGTAAATTTTGAGTCCTCTTTTGTTTTAAGCTTTTAGGAAGAAAGAAGATCAGGTCTCTATTCCTGTTAAGTTTAGCAAAAGGGCAAAATCCCCATGTTGGTATGGTTGCAACTGTGTGCACAGAGCATCAAAATAACTTTACAGAATTATTTCTGGGACTTACAATTGAATAACAACAATAAAGATTCCACAGTAACACAGTATCACAAAAGAGCATGGAATCTGAATTCTTGAAACATTTTAATTGACTCCAATTATGTCTTATAATCTCAAAGTAGCATAGAAAACACATAATCTGAATGTGTTTAGGAAGGCAGCAGGAGGAAGACACTGACAGATGATTCGGATGGAAATAAGACAACTAAAATCAACAACTTCAAAGGACGAATGATGAGGGCATAAATTGTTTAAAGCACATCTCCAAAATTTTCAGCATTACAGATGGGTTTAGATACATCTGGAAATGGGACGGCATCTAAAACAACTGTTTATGTTTCTGCCGTGTCAGTGGATTGGAAACATAAAGTTTTACTTATGAAACAAATTAAAAAAAACTACATTTGCTTCATTATTGCTTATTCTAGGAGTGCCTATTGCTTAAATGTCTCAGAAAGCATAATTTTTTTTCAAATTTAATAGTAACAGTGCCACATGCATGTTAATTTAAAATATCATGCTGAAAGGGTACAGTTAATATCAACCATCCTTAATCCCAGCCAACCTAATCTCCAGTTCTATTCCCTGAATACATTCACTATGAAATCTTCTAGATGTATATTCTGGCACTTAATTATACATTACCTTATGATGGGTTTATTTAAAAATGTGGTGATTCATTCTGTTCAAACTGGATTTATTAATTACCTGCTATATACATGAGAATTTAGATTAATTATATTAATATTCACTCAGACTACCCAACTTCTTGTCTTACTTTCTGTCTCACTGTGTGTGTATATATATATATACACACACACACACATATGTATATATATATGTATATGTGTGTGTGTCTGTGTGGTTGTATATAGGTATGTGTGTATGTATGTGTTTGTATATATATTTATATATACAATACACATTTCATATGATTTTTTCTACAATTAAGTAATATAGTGTTATTTTTATTACTTTACTACTTTTATTATTTTATTAATATAGTGTTACTTTCTACAATTAAGTAATGTAGTATTACTTTATTTTTACTCATTATATTAAAGAGATATTTTGATTTACACTGTAAATTAAGCATACTATCGATACATTTTTTTCCTTTGGCTTTTGTATATTTCACAACTCTAAATATAGTACTTCCTATTATTTTATTTTTATGTATTTTAAAATTCATTTTTCTTAACTCAAAGCCAGTAAGATGAGCCTGCATGGAAAAGAGATAAGAGGCTTTATCTTATCTGATAACCATGATATCTTAATAAATTATTGGTGAGTGCTAAAGCATTGATGTGGGAAAGGGGATACATCCATTGGTAATTGATGACCTAAATCTGCACTATTGCAACATCTCATAAATTCAGATGTAAAATTTACCCAAGAGATTCAGTTTGCCTTGTGTGAATGTTTTGGGAACATTATCCTTATGTATCTGACTTCCTATTGACAATGTATGTGTCAGAAAAGAGGATGGGAAGGGGTGTCTACTTCTGCTCTAGTCCCTCCATCCCCAGTGTAGAAAATGGGATCTTTCCCAGGAGACTCTGAGCAAAGTAATTACTGGTTGATAGAAGAAATTTGAGTTGGCTGTAATTCTAGACATGCCCCACAGGGCCCTAAATACTTGCAGATTAAAACTCTCTTCCCTTTAGTTGATATGATAGAGCTCTCTGTTGGAGGCGAGTTTCTCATTAAATGTGTCATAGATACGGAGAGTGATCAGAGGCTCTTGTCTAACAGCTAAGCAACAGGCTACAGCTGAACATATTAAGCTGATATTTGATACCTCACTATTGCAGAAATATTTCCTGACAGAAAGAGGTCTTAATGGATCAGGCTGGAACACTTAAATTTTTAAAGTAACTATCTGCAAAGGGAACTTTAAGTTGTGGTATAAATGAAAATTTCCACTTCCAGGGATAATCATGTATCAAGGCATAATTGTTAATAACAGCAACCACAATGATAATAGTAAACAATGTTATCAGAGGACCAGAGATACGTGCAGATTTATACATTTGATTGCAAAGAAGGTGGCAGAAAAATAAGAATACTAGATATAAAATTAATATAATCTTGCACAATTTACTGGCTGGGAAAACTATATTTTTAATGTCATTTATAAAATACTTTTCAAAATTTGGACTTTCTCCTCTTATTTTCTCTGGACTCAATTAGATTTAAGACCAACCTTCCTCCCTTCCTTTCTTCTCTTTTTTTCTTTCTTTCTCCTACTTTTCTTTTAAAAATATTTTCCGACTTTCCTGCCATTTCTATCTCTACTCCTCCATTTTTTCCTTCTTTTTGTAATAGTCCTATTTATCTTTTCTTTCTGGAAGGAAGGAAGAAGGAAGGTAAGAAGGAAGGAAGGGAGGAAGGAAGGAAGGGAAGGAGGGAGAGAGGGAGGGAGGGAGGGAGGGAAAGGGAATATCAGAACTGCAGTGTGGGAAATCAGTAACATAGATCTTTTTAGCCTGGTGTCAACCACTATCATTGTCTTTTTAAAATTTCTCTCAAGTTTCCTTATTTCAACAAATCTCCTTATTTCCCCACTCTCAACAAGATTAGATACAATTAATATTCCTGGGAATTTATCAACCAGTAGAAAATTTGGTCTTATTTATAAATTATATTCTCACCAGAAGACTACTGGCAAAAACACGCATTTCTCTTTTAGGGGTGATTTCCAGCTGCAGTGTTTTTCATCTTTCTGCAACTATTTTCATATCTGAAGTATTATATAATACAGTGTGTCCGTGGGGTATAGGAATAAACATATAAAGAATAAATTAATAAAGCATAAGTTTTTATTTTGGGTCTGACTTTCCAAATATGCTCCATGGAAATTACTGATACCAAATAAACCGGTTTAAGGATTCTGCTAGATTTTCTGTCATTCTTCACGGCTAGTTACACTCAGGTTTTTGTATATATTGTCATGTTTTGTGGGCAGATAGCAGTGTCTTTCTGTGATTTTGTACGTTGATCTGTATAATTAAGGTCTGCTTTGTCTTCAAAAAAGACTGACATCTCACTAAAACATAACCTTCATTTTCAAAATTCATTCCAGGTTTTGTACGGGGTTTGAACAAATGAGTATATTATTGTCCAGAACCTCAGAGGAAGACTCAGGTCTCCCTCTGAGTCATAAAGCTAATTTGTCTTCCAGTTGAAGAATGCCCAGTCTGTGTCTAGATCTGACTTTGGACTCAAGATTTGGCAATAATTTTCTAAGAAAAATAGAGATAAAATTAAGCTTATTGGAGATATTTTGAGCTAAACATTTATAAATTTTAATTTTCCTTCTAGAGGTGGTCAGCTAATACTTTTCTCGTCAATGGCAAGATGTTCCACACCACCACCACCATTTTCCACCCAGACACCTTTTTTCTGACAGGCATCCCGGGACTTGAGGCTTTCCATGGCTGGATTTCCATGCCCTTTTGCTGTATTTACTTGATGCCTCTGCTGGGCAATGCTACAATTCTACTGACAATCTGGTCTGATCGTACTCTTCGGGACCCTATGTTCTACTTTCTAGCCATCTTATCAGCCATAGACCTAGCCCTCTCAACATCCTCAGTGCCTCGTATGTTGGGTATCTTCTGGTTTGATGCACATAAAATTGGCTTTGGAGCCTGGGTAGCCCAGATGTTTCTGATACACACTTTCACAGGAATGGAGTCCACTGTGCTGCTGGCAATGGCCTTTGACCGCTATGTGGCCATCTGTACATCACTCCACTATACCTCTACTCTGACACCCCGAGTATTGGCAGGCATTGGTGTGAGCATTATAATGCGCCCAGTCCTGCTCATGTTGCCCATTCTCTACCTAACCCATCGTCTGCCCTTCTGTGAGGCTCGGATTATTGCCCACTCCTACTGTGAGCACATGGGTATTGCTAAGTTGGCCTGTGCTAGCATTCACATCAATGCTATTTATGGGCTTTTTGTGGCTTCTTATTTTGGATGTCGCACTTGTTGGAATCTCCTATACCTACATTCTCCGAGCTGTTTTCCACCTCCCATCTCAAGACGCTCGTCACAAAGCACTGAGAACGTGTGGCTCACATGTTGGGGTCATGTGTGTTTTCTATACACCCTCCCTCTTCTCCTTCCTCACCTACCGATTTCGCAAAAAAAATTCCCCGTTATGTCCACATTCTTGTTGCCAACCTCTATGTGGTCATTCCACCTGCCCTCAATCCTATTATCTATGGTGTGAGAACCAAGCAGATTCATGAGCATGTGGTCCATACTTTCACCTCAAAGTAAGGTCTCTTATTTCTTTACTTCTTGAGGGTGTGGATATGGCTGAGAGAAGTCAATTTTGAGACTTCACTAGGTAATTATTTTGTAAGTGAATTTCATATCAAGAGATTCTGCAAGTCCTAAAGGAACAAACTTTGGAGAATATTTTCCGGTCTTAAACCTCCATGTTGTCTCTCCTCATTCGTGTTGAGTGTTCTTCTGAATATAAAGTTTCATTATAGCAGGAGAACATATCCCACTGGAATCCCTTTCCGTTTTTAACTATGGAAATCAAGTGAAATTCTGTTTCTGTGTATTAAAAAACAGGTTAGTCTTCCAGTGGGTCACAATTAGTTGCCTGCAACTGTCTAGACTTTCTCCGCAAAAAGAACTAAATGAAAATTTAAAATGAAAAAGATCTTGGTAGAATTCTAATTTAACAATTTAAATACATCTTATTTTTCTGAGTACAACACTGGGATACTGAGTCACATTTTTTAAAACGTATGGTTTTTCCCTTTCATTTCAGCAGCCATTTTTTTGTTTTGCTTTTCTTAAGATCCTGTAGGCACTATGTGTCCTCACTGTACCACTGCCTCCCTTCTCATTTCTGGGAAAGCATGAAGTGAAAGTACCTGAAAAAAATACTTGTGTGAAAGAATACAAATCTTGTTTATAAAAGGAGCTGAATGCACAGAATTCTAAGACTTATTTTCCAAATTATGTTTAATCACTCTCTGTGTGTGTGTGTGTGTGTGTGTGTGTGTGTCTGTGTGTGTGCATGTGTGTATGTATGTGTGATACTTTTAGGCAACCCTCTATCAGACATCAGGGCAACTTCTTCTGCAAAGGTCTCTTTATTTGTGCAATGTAACGTACATACATCCTTTGAGGCTTGATGTTTCGCAAAAGTTGACGAATCTCAGATAATTTCAGATACAAAATAAATTTTCAAAGTCAGCTACTTTAACAGGAATTTGCTGGATGTTTTTCCACATATTTTGTGTAGCTATGAAGACATAATTTTGCTACAACTCCTGTGAGCCAAAGGCAATTTTGTGAATATTCTTTCTCAATTTACTATTGGCAGAAACTGACATGCAAAGAAAAATGATGAAGCAAAGCAGAAGAGTGACTGCTCAGGAGACTAGGAACTAATTTTCTGATGCCATGTTCATTGCATGATGGTGGAAAAATAACTTTACAATTTCTGGCATGATTAAAAGGATCAGAACAAAAATCTTTAGAGTTCAGAAATATGGGAGATAGATTAATTATATTTTCAGCAAAGATTGTCGACTAGAGATTTCAGGTAAAACCTTCTGGAAGGAACTAGTGGAGAATAACACAAGGAGTATCTGAATATATTTGTCTGAAGAACTGATTCCTGTGCTCTTAAGGAAGTGCCCTGTTCTCTTAAAGATAGGAACAAGAATATAATGAATTTTCCAGGGACTCTTTTTGTCAGTAGTTTATTCAATAGCATTCTTACCAGTGTTTTTCTCAACTTGGATTTGTATCTTAAGTACCACTCAAATTTAATAATGTTTCATTATACATCATTCTTCAAATAAACTAGATTTATATTATCTTCTCTTTAGAAGAAAAGTTTACACCTATTTACAGTTGGTCAGACAGGAGACACATGTAAGTAATCTTTAAGTAACAATGTACTCTACTAAACATTTCACAGATGTTTTTCATGTTCTAATAATGTATTTTATAGTCAAACTCTTCATTTTTTTCCAACCATCATTTTACTTTTTGTTTTCATGCCCTACAAGAAAAATACAAGTAAGCGTCAATGACAAAAGCATTGGAAATGTGTCTCGATTTCCAGTTTTCCCTCAGCTATTTAACCTACGTAAAACCCACTACAGGAAATATATGGTTGCAATAATAAAAATAGAGATGGGGTTCTGAAGGGCAGATTTCTAAGTAAGAAATTATTTTTCATGAGCAAAAACTGAAAGCACAATTCACATAATATGCTTTTTTAAAATAAAAGTTTTACTTCAAAATAATAAAACTGATCTTTGTGTAGGGTAGGCTGCATGTGTCCAATGTAATACAACAAGTTAAATAACGACATTTGGATAGGTTACATAGCAACCCAAGGTAACATCTGAAAGTGGCATTTTCCTTGCCTGCACCTCAAACCCATGCTAACACTTACATGATAGGCATATCTGTGGTAGATAACAGAATGTGGTTAATTATCATAGACTATAGAATGCTATAAACAGAATAAATAGTCACTTTATCCAGATAATCATTACTAGATTTGTAACTATAATGTTATGTCTTATTTCCCTTAAGAGAACTGGTATTTTCCCAACCATGAAAGAGAGTAGGGTCTAGAAACGATGACTCATACCTGTAATCCTAGCACTTTGGGAGGCTCTGGTTTGCAGATAGCTTGAGCCCAGGAGTGAGATATCAGCCTGGGCAACATAGTCAGACTTTATCTCTACAAAAAACAAAAACAATAGCCAGGTGTGGTGGTACACTCCTATAGTCCCAGCTACTTAGGAGACTGAGGTGGGAGAATCTCTTGTCCCCTGAAGTTTGAGGCTGCAGTAAGCCAAAATCGTGTGACTGCACGACAGAGCAAGATGTTGTCAAAAAGAAGAAGAGAAGGAGGAGGAGGAGGAAGAAGAGGAGGAGGGGGAGGGGGGAGGAGGAAGGAGAAAAGAAGAAGAAGAAGAGGAGGAGGAGGAGAAAGGATAATTGTTTTTCTTCTTGATTTTCGTCTACACCTATCTCACCCTCAAAAGATGCCCACACCATCAAAGACAATAAATATAATCCTGTTTGAAAGAAATAATATACATAGCCCTAATTCAATCCACTTCCTTTATTCTATACTCTTAAAAACACTAAATAAATATTAACAATTATGATTGCCTATTACTTTTATTATTATTAAAGTATAATAAAATTATTGCAAAATATCAGATTCCAAATTCTGCTAATTGGTATAAGTAACAGAGGCAACAACTAATTTTTACCAACCAATTAGCAGCATTTCTAATAATAATAAAAATGGACATTATTTTAATTTTATTTTATTTGTTACAACTTTCAGCACATAAAATTTATAATCATTTATACAAACAGCTCTATAATTCATATGCAGTTTATCTCAAGTAAGGTATACAGTATTCCCCCATTATCCACAGTGAATATGTTTCAAAACCTTCAGTGGATGTCTGGAACTGCTAATAGTATTTAGCCCCATATATCCCGTATATATATTCTATTTTTTTCCTATAGCATAGTTATTATAAAGTTTAATTAATGCATTAGAAAAAGATTAACAACAATAACTAGTAATAAAATAGAACACTTACAACAATATAATAAAAGTTATGTGAATATTCTTTCTCTCTCTTAAAATATTAATACCTTTATTGTACTCTACTCACCTATTTTCTGACCATGATTGACCATGGATACCGAAATCATGAAAAGCAAAACAACAGATACCATATATGCTTTATCTTTTGCTATCCTGCAAGTTATCTATTATATAACTTCATTTTCGCCTATTAACACATTCTCAGTGAAAGAAAAAACATGTTCAAAGTAGTAAAACTAGAAAAAATTCTAATATTTATTTTTATAATCATGTACTTCATTTTATTTTTTAGTTGGGAACATCCTTTACAAGTCAATGTTGTAATTAAAAATCAAGCAACTAAATATGCAAACATCTATGAATCTCTTTAATGAATGATATAAGATATCTACCTTGAAAACTATGTAATAAGTTAAGAAGACTCAGATAAATGGTAGAATATACCACACTTATGATTGAATTTAAAGACACAATATTGTAAATAATATGATTTTCCCTATAAAGATATTCAGATTCAATGCAATCTCAATAAAATTTTCTGAAAGTCATTTTGTGGAAATTTTCAAGTAGCATTGAAAGTTTATATGGAGATGTAAATTAGGTCCTGGAATACTCAAGGCTTTCCTGTAAAACAAAAACACTGAGGGATAAACACAACCAGATGCAAGATTGATACTAAGTAGACGTCAGAACCATATTTGCTGTAGTTTGACTCAAGGATACGCAAGTAGGCTAATGAATCAAAACAGACAATGTAAAATCAAACCACTAATATGGAGACAGAGACAGTGTACTACTTTGAGAAAATGATTTTTTAAAGGAATGGTGATGAAAATAGCTCACGTATATGAAAAAAGCAAAATGAATCTCAACCCCTCAATTGCACTATATACTAAAATTAATCCCAGAGGAACTTTAAATTATAATATAAAAGCTAAAAAAATAAAGTCTTTAGAAAAAATGCTCGAGGGAGTGTGGAGAAAAATGAACTCCTATATGCTGTTTGTGGGACTGTTAACTGGTATTGCCATTATGAAAAACAAAATGGAGGTTTCTGAAAAATCTAAAAGTAGAACTACCATATGAGACAGCAATCTCACTACAGGGTTTATGTCCAAAGGAATAAAAAATCAGTATGTCAAAGAGATACCTGTACTCCTATGCTCACTGAAGCACCATTCACAACAGCTAAGACATCAATCTCTCCAGAAAGGATAAAGAAAATGTGGTATGCTATGTATACACAATGGAATACTATTCAGCTTTAACTAGGAAGAAAATCTTGTCATTTGCAACAACAGAGACAAAACTGAAAGACATTATGTTAAGTGAAATAAGTCAGGCATGCAAAGACAAATACTGCAGGGTATCACTTACATGTGGAACACAAAAAAGTTGAACTCATAGGAGTAGATAGTAGAATGGTAGTTACCAGAGCTGAGGAAGTTAGGCAGTGAAGGGGAGATATTGGCAAAAGGGTACAGAATTTTAGTTAGACCAGAAGGGCAAGTTTTTGAGATCTATTGTACAGTATCTTGACTATAGTAAATGATAATGTATTATGCATATCATAACTGCTGAGAATAAATCTCAAATGTTATTACCACAAAAATAAGTATGTGAGGTGATTTATATGTTAATTGGATTGATTGTATATATTAGTTGTGTATTAGAACTTTTCATTAACTCAGTGCATCTAAAACTCAATGTATCTAGAACTGATTATTAATATATCTAATATGTTAATTACATTAATGTTAATTACATTGATCATTGCATAATGTATACATATACAAAAATATCACATTGTACCTTATAAATATATACAACCATTATGTCAAATAAATTAAAAGTCAAATAATATACAGAACATGTGTCAGGGACATTTCTAAATAAGTGCATTTATTTCTATGTGTAACCCTATCAGACAGGTACTGTCACTACCTCATTTCATGCATAGGGAAAGTAAAGAGCATGCAGACTAATTTGCCAAATGTCACTGCCAAAGACTTTTGGCACTTTTGAATGCTACTGCCAAAGACTTCTCCAGCCTTCCTAACTCACCTAAGAGGAAATAAACATCTAGTCAACAGATGTCAAGGCTTCAAGGAAATAGATTAGGAACACTGAAGTCAGGGAAGAGAACAGAGGAGGAGAGAGGGCACTATACAACCAGAGAAATACTTGTGAAGGTAAAGACGTGAGCCAAAGGCACCAGAAGGCTCAGGTTTAATTGGAAGATTATTGAGAGCTTTCCTTCTGCCATACCTTGCCACCATGCAAGCAGGGTTCCAGTATAATAGTGGATTATACTTGAAGGAACTGAGAAATAATCTTTAGGATGATTATAGTCACGTGTTGCTTAACGATGAGGATATGTTCTGAGAAATGCATCCTTAGGCGATTTTGTCATTGTGTGACATCATAGAGTGTACTGACACAAACTGCGATGGTACAGCCTAATACGCGTCTGGGCTATAGATTACTGCCTATTATTCCTTGGCTACAAACCTGTACAGCATGTTACCGTGCTGGATACTACAGGCAGTTTTAACACAATGTTAAGTATTTGTATATCTAAACAGAAAAGTTAAGAGTAAAAATATGATATTTTAGCACCACTGTCCTACAATACTGTAGGGCCCACCCCCTAACAGGTCCTAGTATGTGTTGTTCTCCTCCCTGTGTTCATGTGTTCTCATTATTCAGCTCCCACTTATATGTCAGAACATGTGGTGTTTGGTTTCCTATCCCTGTGTCAGTTTGATGAGGAAAATGGCTTCCACCTCCATCCATGTCCCTGCAAAGGACATGATCTCATTCCTTTTTATGGCTACATAGGATTCTATGGTGTATGTGTACCACATTTTCTTTAACCATTCTATCATTGATGGGCATTTGGCTTGATTCCATGTCTTTGCTGTTGTGAATAGTGTTGCAATGAACATATGTGTGCATATATCTTTGTAACTGGACGATTTATATTCCTATGGGTATACACCCAGTAATGGGATTTCTGGGTCAAATGGTATTTCTTGTTCTAGGTCTTTGAGGAATTGACACCCTGTATTCCACAATGTTTGAACTAATTTGCATTCCCACCAACAGTGTAAAAGTGTTCCTATTTCTCCACAGCCTCACCAGCATCTGTTGTTTATTTACGTTTTAATAATCGCCATTCTAACCAGTGCATGATGGTATCTCATTGTGGTCTTGATTTGCATTTCTCCAGTGATCAGTGATGTTGGGCCTTTTTTCATGTTTTTTGGTCACATAAATGTCTTCTTTTGTGAAGTGTCTGTTCATGTCTTTGCCCACTTTTTAATGGTGGTGTTTTTTTCTTATAAATTTATTTAAGTTCCTTGTAGATACTGGATATCTACAATGCTTTGTCATAGATTGAAAGCATTTTCGTTCATTCTGCAGGTTGTCTCTACATTCTAATGACAGTTTCTTTTGCTGTACAGAAGCTCTTTAGTTTAATTAGATCCCATTTGTCAAGTTGTGCTGTTGTTGCAATTGCTCTTGACGTTTTTGTCATGAAATCTTTGTCCGTGCCTATGTGCTGAATGGTATTGCCTAGATTTTGTAGTTTTGGGGTTTACATTTAAGTCTAATTCATCTTGAATTAATTTGTGTATAAGGTGTAAGGAAGGGGTCCAGTTTCAATTTTCTGCATATGGCGAGCCAGTTTCCCAGTACCATTTATTAAATATGGAATCCTTTCCCCATTGCTTGTTTTTGTCATGTTTGTTGAAGGTCATATACTTGTAGATGTGTGGTCTTATTTCTGATATCTCTACCCTGTTCCATTGGTCTGTGTGTCCGTTTTTGTGCCAGTACTATGCTGTTTTTGTTACCATAGCCTTGTAGTATACCTTGAAGCTGGGTAGTGTGATGACTCCAGCTTTGTTCTTTTTGCTTAGGATTGTCTTGGCTATAGGGGCTCTTTTTTGGTTCCACGTGAATTTTAAAGTAGTTCTGTGAAGAATGTCAATGGTAGTTTAATGGGGATAGCATTGAATATATAAATTACTTTTGGCAGTATGGCCATTTTTATGATATTGATTCTTCCTATCCATGAACATGTAATGTTTTTACATTTGTGTGTGTCCTCTCATTTCCTTGAGCACTGGTTTGTAGTTCTCCTTGAAGAGTCCTTCACTTCCCTTGTTAGCTGTATTTCTAGGTATTTAATTCTCTTTGTAGCAATTGTGAATGTGAGTTCATTTGTGATTTGGCTCTCTTCTTGTCTATTGCAGGTGTGTAGACATGCTTGTGGTTTTTGCACATTGATTTTGTATCCTGAGATTTTGCTGAAGTTGCTTACTAACTTAAGAAGCTTTCAGGCTGAGATATGGGGGCTTTCTAGATACAGGATCATGTCATCTGCAGAAAAAGACAGTTGGACTTAATTTCTTCTATTCCTATTTGAATATCCTTTATTTCTTTCTCTTGCCTGATTTCCCTGGCCAGAACTTCTAATATTATTTTGAATAGGAGTGGTGAGAGCAGGCATTCTTATCTTGTGCCAGTTTTCAAGGAGAATCGTCCAGTTTTTGCTTATTCAGTATGACATTGGCCGTGGGTTTGTCATAAATGGTTCGTATTAGTTTTTGATATGTTCCATCAAAATCTAATTTATTGAGTTTTTAACATGAAGAGATGATGAATTTTATCAAAGGCCTTTTCTGCATCTGTTGACATAATCTTGTCATTTTTGTCTTTAATTCTGTTTATGTGATGAATTACATTTATTGATTTGCATATGTTGAATCAACCTTGCATCTTGGAATAAAGCTGACTTGATCATGGTGAATAAGCTTTCTGATGTGCTGCTGGATTCGGTTTGCCAGTATTTTATTGAGAATTTTGGCATTGATGTTCATCAGGGATATAGGCCTAAAGTTTCCTTTTTTTGTTGTTGTTGTATCTCTGCCAGGTTTTGGTATCAGGATGATGCTGGCCTCATAAAGTGAGTTAGGAAGAAATCTCTTCTTTTCAATTGTTTGGAATAGTTTCAGAAGAAATTATACCAGCTCCTCTTTGTACCTCTGGTATAATTCAGCTGCTAATCCATCTGGTCCTGGGCTTTTTTTAAAGACTATTTATTACTGTCTCAACTTCAGAAGTTGTTACTGGTCCATTCAGGGATTCAAATTCTTCCTGGTTCAGTTTTGAGAGGGTGTATGCATCCAGGAATTTATTCATGTCTTCTAGATTTTCTAGTTTATGTGCATAGAGGTGTTTATCTCTGAGGGTTGTTTGTATTTCTGTGGGGTCAATAATGATATCCCCCTTATCATTTCTGATTGTGTCTATTTGATTCTTCTCTCTTTTCTTTATTTTTCTAGCTAGTGATCTATCTTATTTTATAGATTTTTCAAAAAATCAGCTTCTGGATTCATTGATTTTTTGAAGTGTTTTTCATATCTCTATCTCTGTCAGTTCCACTCTGGTCTTGGTTATTTCTTGTCTTCTGCTAGCTTTAAGGTTTGTCTGCTCTTGGTTCTCTAGTTCTTTTAGTTGTGATGTTAGGGTATCGATTTTAGATCTTTCTAGCTTTTTGATGTAGGCATTTAGTGCCACACATTTTTCTCTTAACACTGCTCTAGCTGAATCCCAGAGATACTGGTAAATTGTCTCTGTTCTCATTAGTTTCAAAGAACTTCTTGATTTCTGCCTTAATTTCATTATTTACCTGGGAGTCATCATTCAGGAGCAGATTGTCCAATTTCCACGCAGTTGTGTGGTATTGGATGGGGGTGGAGAATTCTGTAGATATCTATCAGGTCCACTTGATTCAGAGCTGAGTTCAAGTCCTAAATATCCTTGGTAATTTTCTTTGTTGATTATCTGTCTAATATGGACAGCAGGCTGTTAAAGTCTCCCAGTATTATTGTGTGGGAGTCTAAGTCTCTTTGTAGGTCTCTAAGAACTTGTTTTATGAATCTGGGTGCTCCTGTATTGGGTACATATATATTTAGGATAGTTAGTTCTTCTTGTTGAATTGATCCCTTTGCCATTATGTTTAGGATAGTTAGCTCTTCTTGTAAAATTGAACCTTTTACTATTATTTAATGCCCTTCTTTGTCTTTTTTGATCTTTGTTGGTTTAAAATCTGTTTTGTCAGAAACTAGGATTGCAACCCATGCTTTTTTTTTATTTACTTGACAATTTTTCCTCTATCCCTTTATTTTAAGCCCATGTGTGTCTTTGCATGTGCGATGGGTGTCTCGAATACAGCACACCAATGGGTCTTGACTCTTCATTCAGCTTTCCATTCTGTGTCTTTTAAATGGGGCATTTAGACCACTTACATTTAAGGTTAATATTGTAATGTGTGGGTTTGATCCTGTCATCATGATGCTAGCTAGTTATTTTGCAGACTTGTTGATGTAGTTGCTTCATAGTGTCATTGGTCTGTGTACTTCAGTGTGTTTTTGTAATGGCTGGTAATAGTTTTTGTCGTTGTTGTTGTTGTTGTTTTGGTTTGGTTTGGGGATTGTTTTTTGAGACAGAGTTTTGCTCTTGCTCCCCAAGCTGGAGTGCATGATCTCGGCTCACTGCAACCTCCGCCTCCTGGGTTCAAGTGATTCTCCTACCTCAGCCTCCCAAGTAGCTGGGATTACAGGAATGTGCCACCACGCTCGGCTTATTTTTTGTATTTTTAGTAGAGATGGGGTTTCTCCATGCTAGTCAGACTGGTCTTGAACTCCTGACCTCAGGTGATCCACCTACCTCAGCCTGTCAAAGTGCTGGGATTACAGGCGTGAGCCTCCGTGCCTGGACAGCAGTTTTTCTTTTCCATATTTAGTGCTTCCTTCAAAGTCTCTTGCAAGGCAGGCCTGGTGGTGATGAATTCTCTCGGCCTTTGCTTGTCTGAAAAGGATTTTATTTCTCCTTCGCTTACGAAGCTCAGTTTGTCTGGATATGAAATTCTGGGTTGAAAATTCTTTTATTTAAGAATGTTGAATATTGGCCCCCAATATCTTTTGGCTTGTAGAGTTTCTGCTGAGAGGTCCACTGTTAGTCTGATGGGCTTCCCTTTATATGTCACATGGCCTTTCTAACTGCCCTTAACATTTTTTCCTTCATTTTGACGCTGGAGAATCTGCTGATTATGTGTTTTAGGTTCGATCTTCTCATGGAGTATCTTACTAGGGTTCTCTGTATTTCCTGAATTTGAATGCTGGTCTGTTTTGTTACGTTGGGAAAGTTCTCCTGGATGATATCCTGAAGTATGTTTTTCAACTTGGTTTTTTCCCTGTCTCTTTCATGTACCCCAATCAGTTGTAGTTTTGGTCTTTTTACATAATCCCATAGTTCTCAGAGGGTTGGTTTGTTCCTTTTCATTCTGTTTTTTCTAATCTTGTCTGTCTGTCTTATTTCAGCAAGATAGTCTTCAAGCTCTGAAATTCTTTCCTCTGCTTGGTCTATTGTTATTGATACTTGTAATTGTATTGTGAAGTTCTTGTGTTGTGCTTTTCAACTCCATTAAGTCATTTATGTTCCTCTCTAAACTGGTTATTCTGGTTAATCACTCCTGTAATGTTTTATCATGGTTCTAAGCTTCTTTGCATTGGGTTAGAACATGCTGCTTTAGCTCAGCAAAGTTTGTTATTACCTGCCTTTTGAAGCCTACTTCTGTCAATTCAGCCATCTCACCCTCCACCCAGCTCTGTGCCATTGCAGGAGAGGTGTTGCAATCATTTAGAGAAAAGCCACTCTGGTTTTTGAGTTTTCAGCATTTCTTCACTGATTCTGTCTCACCTTACTGAGTTCATCTAGCTTCAATTGTTGAGGCTGCTGACCTTTGGATGGGGTTTTTGTGGGGATGTATTTGTTGATGCTGCTGCTGTTGTTGTTGCTTTCCGTTTGTTTGTTTTCCTTTTAATAGTCAGGCCCCTCTTCCACAGGGCTGCTGCAGTTTTCTGGGAGTCCACTCCAGACCTTATTCATCTGAGTGATCTTTTGATATTTAGTAAAAGGTTATTGAGTCTAGATGCTATATCCAATCATCTGTATATCTTCATCAGAACTTATTACAGATCCCACAGCATTGTAGTTATTTATCATTTATCGAAAATTGTCAGTAGAAAATGTTACTATTAATGAATGAGAACAATATAAATAATAAATTCACCTTGCTCATGAAACATTGTCTTGGATGGTAGGGTATAAATCATGCCAGCGTTATTTACAGATCTCGCCATACTCTTGCACTTAGAATATCTACTTTGGTACATCAAATGAATAAATTAACAAAATAAATTCACACAAAATAAGTAATTTCCTGTGGACCCCAGAATTTTAAGGATAGAAAAGAGACAGCAAAAAAGGATTGACAAAAGCATAACAATTATTATCAGCCTCTGCTAAATGCCTCATTTGATTTAATTGCTTCAAATGTCCAATGCAGAAATTGAGATTCGTGGAAATTAGTAACTTTCACAGTATCAGACTAGTCCATGGAAGTGCTGACAATCAAACCTAGGTATGCTTGACTTCAAAGCTGATTTGCTTTCCACTGTAATTCTTCCTCTTAACCAAACATTCTACATTCTAACCTCTTTGTTTCTACATCAATATATGCTGTCTTACTCATCCTGAGCTCTAAACTTTATTGCTTTTAATTGAACAGCATGTATGCCTTTCTTATTCTTGGACACCTTCTCTTGAGTTATTTTAGAAATGTCCTTTAGAGAAATACCTTCATTTAAACACACACACACACACACACACACACACACACACACACACAACCCATCTATCTTCCAAAGAACGTCTCAAATACTTCATCATTAACCATGTCTTTCCCCAAAAACCTTGAACTCAGCATTGAATGTCACCTTTCTCTTTTAAGCTCCTTGGCATTTTGTACATACGGTTCTGATAAAATGTATTAAAGTCATATTTTACACTCTTGTTATTTTGATGTGTGGTACATTTTCAAAAATACCAACGTTTCTTTATAATGTATAGTATGTCTTGCTCTTTTTATATTTTGTATCAAAAGCACTGCACTGTGCAAGAGACTTTAACAATCCCCCTGTATGGATTCTGTCTCTGTCTCAGTAACAGATTCCTCTCCACCTCCACCAGCGTATAGTTTAAGCTCATCTCATAGCCACTCATCTAGACACTGCATTTTTCTTTCACTCCTGTCCCTGGTTGTGATCATGTGGTTGGGTTTAGGACAAAGGAATGTGAGAAATGATGCATATGACCCCTTTGACATGAATAAAAATGATTGAATTAAATTCACAACATGATGCTACTGTACACAAGCAAGAAAATGAAAGATTGATGATTCAAAATGCTAGCAAGGATATGAAGCAACTAGAACACTTAAAAATTGCTGACCTAGGACTTAGTTGTATGTTGTTCTCATTACCCAACTTTTCTTTATCTTGACACCTTAAATTCTGATGTTCAATATCACAGTAGGGTGACAATAGTTAACAACAATATATTGCATACTTAAAAAACAGCTAGAAGAGAAGATTTGAAATCTTCCCAACACAAAGAAATGATAAATGTTTTAGGCTGTGGATACCCCAAATACCCTTATTTGATCATTATATGTTGTACGCATGTATCAAAATATCTCATCTACTACATAAATATCTATAAATATGATTTGTCAATAAAAAATGCAAAAAATCCGCTGTAATCTTACAAATTGGTACAATTACTTTTTTGCAAAATCAGTTTTCAAAAAATATTTATCAAGATGTATTAATATCAATCTTAGGAATATCATATTATCTGGCAATTCTAATTCTATACATATACTCCTTCAAATACAGCCATATATTACCAATACTATGTAAAGTAATGCCCACAACAACACTACTTTTGATAGCAAAATATTATGTATTATCTAGCCCCCCCACGAAAAAGCAAACAACGTGTAAAGAAATTGTAGTGTATTCATAAAGTTGAATATTATAACACAATGAGAATAGCTCATTTTTATATGCAACAATATAGATAAATCTTAAAAACCTAAACTTGAAGCAAACAAATTTGCTGCAATATTTCATTTATGTACATTTCTAAAGAAGCAAAGTTATCTTGGTAATAGAAATCAGGATAGTGGTTATCTAACGTGGGTAGGAACAAGGAAACAAGTGAAGGAGAATTTCTGCTTTGCTGGTCGTGTTATGTTTCTTGATCTGGATGCTTTTTTGGCTCAGTCTGCCCATTATACTAAAATTCATGTCAGTGGCACACGTCTGTAATCCCAGCACTTTGCAAGGTGGAGACGGGAGGATGGCTTGGGCCTAGAAGGTCTATACAAGCCTGAGCAACATAAAGAGAGCTCTTCTATACAAATAATAATAAAAAAATTAGGTGGTGGGCCTAGGGGTATGCACCTGTAGTTCCAGCTACACCAGAGGCTGAGGTGGGAGAATTCCTTTAGCTCAGGCAGTTCAGGTTGCTGTGAGCCATGCATGACTGAGCCACTGTACTCCACCCTGGGCAATAGAGTGAGACTTGAGCTCAAGGAAAAGAAGAGAAGAGAAGAGAAGAGAAGAGAAGAGAAGAGAAGAGAAGAGAAGAGAGAGGAGGAGAGGGGAGGGGAGGGGAGGAGAGGGGAGGAGAGGGGAGGGGAGGGGAAGGGAGGGGAGGGGAGGGGAGAGAAAAATATAGTCTTAGGATTGGTGCACTTTTCTAATTGTATGATATACTTCAGTGAAAAGCTTAAAAATAATAATCTGAAAGAAGTTAAAAATTAAAGAAAAGGGGAGATAAGAGATACGGAGAAATTAGAAGCCAATTAGATGGAGGATTTAAATATTGACATATCATATAACACTACTTAGTTTGGTATGAAATAATTATTTGTTTTATTATTCTAGACCCCAAGCATGCAAATGGAAGCTGGTTTGATTGAATAATGGATTTAGATAGGCACAATCTCTGAATCACAGTTTGCAGGTTATAATGTGCTTTCACTTATCTCTTTTGGCAGCATCCAGCTACACTATTGTGGGTGGGTGGGTCAAATGGTGGGTGTTTGTGGAAGGCAGGTGGAAGGCAAGTGGAAAGAAAAGGTGTTAATTTCTGTTTTAAGAAAATAAATGAAAGACTTGGGGAAATAAATTAGCAAATTCTGATAGGTAAATAATAATGGCAGCCTAAATTTACATCTTTTGTTCCAGTTGATTTTTGTGTGTTTTGTTGCTGGATAACTGTGAACTGAGTAAAACAAAGTCACATCATGATGGTGTAGGGGCATCATTAAAGAAAAGTTGAGAAAGGAGGATAGGCTTTTCTTAACAGAAGCTTGTTGCAGGCAATTTCACTAAAGTTGTCTAATAAGGTTTAAAATTAGTACTTCAGTATCCCATACATTTGTTTATAAATATTACAAGGGCTAAAGAAACATCTCAGGGAGTACTAATTCTTATTTTATTACCTAATTTTTCTTCAGGGAAAATTCCAGGAAAATAATCTATCGGTAAACAAACAATTAGGTTTGGCTACAGAATTAATATCTGCAATCAAAAATGTCAAAAAATACTTGTTCTTTACAACATCAAAGTATTCTATGACTTTAATAGTTAAACTAGTAAAGCATGGTGGTATAAGGACAGTCAGAAAATAAGGACAGGAAAAAATACACAAAGTTGTGGTAATATATTAAGTAAAAAAAAACACAGAATAACATAGAAAGATAATAAATTGCTTAATACAAACTCTATTTAGCAAAATAGAGTTTCCTCTATTAAGTTTGCTCCGTTAAGCTGTGTAATTCACATTTTGCACAAAAACAAAATCCAGTGTGAATTAAAAATAATCTCAAAATAAAACCATGTGACTTTAAGTAATAAAACTATGGACTTTTTTTATTTTTTGGTTAAATTTTAATAATATAACATGGGGAAACAAGTACTTGAATTTTGCTTATGGAAGTATGAGCTACTGAAATTGTCTAAAATGAAATGACAATACTTATCAAAAATTAACAGAACAAACTTTATACTGCAATTTTCATTTCTATTAATATACCTAGAAAAATGCTTGCAGAGATATGAATATATATGTGTATATATGTTTGTAGGTGTGTGTATACAGACACATTAATTTATTCATCAATCATAATGATACCCCAAACCATTGACTGGATCTCATAGGTCTAGTAATAGGTGAGCTATTATCTTTATGAAGAAACTATTTCAATCAAATTTCAAGCCTCATCTTTGGAACAGAATGTTTTTACTACCTTATCTCTAATGTGTTTGGTCTTTAACCCATAGATAAAGGGGTTGAGGAATGGTGGGACCAGTAGGTAAAGACTGGACAAGGTGATATGTACATATGATGGGATATAAGATCCAAATCTGCGAGTAAAAAATGAAAAAAAAAGCAAGGAGATAGAATTGGAAGAAGACATATATATGGGGAATACATGTATTAAATACCTTAAGTCGTGCCTCTTTCAGAGGCAAGTGAAAGACAGTGATAAATATCTGAATATAGGAGAGGGTGATGAAAATGAAGTCAAGCCCACCAACAATAAATGCTCCAAGGATACCATAGACCTTATTAATGTAAACATCTTCAGTGGCAAGCTTCACAAGGGCCACGCGTTCACAGTAAGTGTGGTATATTAACTTGGTTCGGTAGAGTTTCAGATGGCATTTTATAAGCAATAGGCATGGAATTACCAGAATGGCAGGCCGCAATGTCACTCCAACTACAATATAAGTGACTAGCTGTCGAGTGAATACTATAGCACGCCTCAGAGGATAACAGATCGCTACACAGCGGTCCAGAGCCATGGCTAGCAGGACTCCTGATTCAATGCCTTGAAATGTGTGGATGAGCCACATCTGAAAGAGGCAAGCATCAAAATATATCTCTGGCAAATGGAACCAAAAAATATCAAGCATCTTGGGCACAATGCTGGTGCTAAGTGAAATGTCTGTGGCTCCTAACGTGGCCAGGAAGATATACATGGGTTCATGGAGGCTTGGCTCAGATTTGATGATGATCAAAAGTAGAGAATTTCCAATCAGAGCAATGACATACGTAGCACAGAATGGAATCCCAATCCAGCATTGTACAGATTCAAAACCGGGGATCCCAATAAATGTCAGCACAAAAGGCATGAACAAGGTACCATTTGTAATAGGCAGGGCCATTCAGGGGTCTTCTTAGAAAGGGGAGAAAGTTTGCCAAGCTGTGATTCTCTGTACTTTTATATATTTTATGCTTATCCAATCACAAAGTTATTGAATAGCAGAATTAGGAGAACCAACTCCATCAACTTACTTATCTTTTTTTTAATGAATGAAAAAATGCCAATATAAAGACCCATAGAAAGGTTCACCAGTTTACACTTTAGCAAAATCATCCGGCCACACTCAGTGAAGACTTTTGGACATCATTTCTGAGAAGAGGCCAATATGATCAACCTGCTTAGTGGTGCTTTCCTTGTTCCCCAACTCCATTTTCTCTTTCCTCTTCTAACCTGTTCATGGAAAGCAGGAATACAAATATTTATATTTGGAATTATATTTTAGACAGAGAAATAAAAACATTTATTCTAGCTTTAGCCCCAAGTGTTCAAATATGACACTGCTGCAAGACTCAGACTCCATTCAGTAGACAATGACAGTCACATAATTTTGGTGTATTACCATAGCAATTCTGATACAGGAGACAACCGTATACAAAAACTCTGTAGTTCATATAAGCACCCTAAACCTCTCACACCAGGACTTTTTCCACACATTGGAGGGTAAAGACATATTTAAACTATTTATATATAAATTTAAAATTAAGGAAATTTTAGAGTACCTGGTTTAGGAGAAGAGGAACCTCAGGTTGTATCGTCAGGGGAACCATGAAGAAGATGTTGAATTAGTTAGAGGTGAGGTTTAGTTAACGAGTTTGGAAGCCTGAATCTCCATATGGAGGCAGTGTGAACAGATATAACCCTTACATAGAAATCAGGCCCTGGTGTGTGATGTTCCCCTTCCTGTGTCCATGTGTTCTCATTGGGCCTGTTGTGGGGTGGGGGCCGGGGGGAGGGATACCATTAGGAGATATACCTAATGTTAAATGACAAGTTAATGGGTGCAGCTCACCAACATGGCACATGTATACATATGTAACTAACCTGCACGTTGTGTACATGTACCCTAAAACTTAAAGTATAATAATAATAAAAAAAAAAGAAATCAGGCTACTTACTGCTGAAGGAAAGTCGAAAGCTCTATTTTTTTTTTTTATCTTCTGGAAAAGTTGACATACGAAAAATATGATGGGATGAGACTATTTGAAAATTCTCCAAGAAATTCAATGGGAAATAATTGACAAACATGTTGAGGTGGAAGTGCCTTGGGAAGCAGCAGAAATAGAGAAACATCCAAAACAAAATTCTGATTGCAATATAATGGCTGTGGCTGGGACACTTAACAATTTCCAGTAACGATACACTGGCAAATAACTATGGTTCAGTTGCAGGGCTGGTAACATGATATTATGCATCAATGATTTTTTTTTAAGTGAGAGCAGAGAGGTTATGCAAGTGATTAGTTGTCTAGGTCTAAATCAAGGTGATCCATAAATTTTATAAGTGGTGTGCTAAGCATTTCTAATATTTCTCCATAACTCAAGTCATCACATCCAAATATTATTCTGTGTTCTTCCCTGGCCCCTAGTCACCATGATAACCACAGATTTAAACTCTGGAATGTTTTGGAGATCATTACATTGTTAGAGCCCAGAAAACCAATATCCCTAAATATAGCACTTTAACATTCTGAACTAAAGAAGCAACCGCAAGGTTTCTCTGACATCCCCCAGCCCTTCCTGTCTTTCACTTCTTTGTCTTTCCCAAAGCATGGGATGAGGTTATTCTCTGAAGTTCCCTTATCTACCTAGACGCTAGACCCCTAAAGAGGAACACAATTGCCTTCAATCCCTTCCCTGAAATTCCATTAACCAGAGAAGATTAAAACTCATATTACAGAGGAAGACACTGAAAATTAAACACCACACCTGGAGCCCAGATGAACTTCATCTCAAACTATTGTCTCTTCTCAGGTCCCATTCAATCTCTCCCCTCCCCTATAAAGAAGGATATATAAGCATCTGTGCTTAATTGAGTTATCAGGTAATCATTCTCCTTGGAGTTCTCCATGCTTATGCATGTTAATAAAATTCTATGTCTTTTTCCTGTTAATTTGTCTTTTGTCGATTCATTTTAACAGACGTAGACTTCAACCTTCAGAGGGATAGTTTCAACTTCCCTACACACTCATGATCCTTCTCTCTTTCAAGTAAAACATCTGCAGGTCTAAATTACTTCTCCAATAGCAGGCTCCTAACTGCCCTTAACATCTCAATCTTCCAAAGTAGATTCTTCAACTTATCATTATTGTTCTTTAATTGTAGTTCATAGAATTTCAAAGTGAGACCCTAACAAAAATATACTCTTCATGTTTATGATTTGGATTTTTTCTGGAGTCTACATTCATTAGCTGCACTTGTACTTGTACTTCAGGATGTACTGTTTCACCTCCACTTGAGCTGTACACATTCCTAACTATAACTTACTCAATATCCAGGAGCAACAGTGACAAGTGACTGGCACAGAGGAAGGTTGCTCTCTGCTGGTCCCAGCTATGTAATATTTGTGGTTTGTAACATAATTTTCCCTGATTACCAAAGTTTTATTAGCCTTTCTCAAATCCTGAGAGATATTTTTTCCCTAGGGCAAAGATGGAAGTTTAAAGCCAGCCATTTCTAAGGGTTAGCGGCTTGCTCAATTCCCTGGGGGCCTGGCATATCTAGTATGGCCAGGAGATGGCAGTGTTGAAGCATCTTCTGTTAGTAAAACACATCCCTGTCTCTCAGAGCCCCAGAGATAGGGTTTATCTCGTTCTCACTTATTTGACAAAGAAAAAGGACACTAAAATAAGGCAATGCATCAATTGAGACTCCATTTCATCTCTGAACAAATTGGACAGCGTTACTGTATGCTTGGTAAGGAAAGGGAATCGAAAACAAAACAAATATTGTACCTTGTATTTACTCTTGACCATCAAAGGATTTCCAGAAGGCATTTCAGTGATCCAAGAAAGAAGTGTGTTTGGAAGTGGTAGGCAGAACAGGGTTGAGAGTACAGTAATGCCTGTAAGAAGTAAGACTTGCTAAGAGAAAGGGAGGAAAATCAATTATGCACAGATGATTTTTGTCCTATTTTAAGAGACAGAAAATTAGAGCAGTCCTTCCTAGAAAAGTAAATCACAAGCTTTTTTTTTTAACAATCTCTTGATCCCAAGAAGTTCCCTACTCTTAAATATCTTTAATACAGAGTTTAATTTAAAATGCATATATGTTTTGGCTTTTAGTTTTTCCTTATTTAAAATTAATTAATGCAGAACAACACAAACTAGAGAACCTAAACGAAATGGACTAATTCCTGGAAACATACAACCTCTCAATATTGAGCCAGGAAGAAATTGAAATTTTAAGCAGACCAATAACAAGTTCCAAAATTGAATCACTAATAAAAAAACCTACCGACCAGTAAAAGCCCTGGACCAGATAAACAGCCAAATTCTACAAAGAAGTATAAAAAAAGAGCTAGTACTCATCCTACTAAAATGATTCCAAAAAGTTGAGGAGGAGGGACTAATCCCTAACTCATTCTGTGAGGCCAGATTTGTTCTGATACCAAAACCTGGGAGAGACACAAGGAAAAAAGAAATCTTTAGGCCAATATCTCTGATGAACATAGAGTCAAAAATCCTCAACAAAATACTACAAGCAAAATCCAGCAGCACATCAAAAAGCTAATCCACCAAGATCAAGTAGGTTTTATTCCTGGGATGCAAGATTGGTTCAACATACATATAACAATAAATGTAATTCATCACATAGACAGACCTATAAACAAAACCACATGATTATCTCAATAGGTACAGAAAAGCTTTTCGTAAAATTCAACATCCCTTCATGTTAAAAGTCCTCAACAAACTAGGCATTAAAGGCACATACCTCAAAATAATAAAAGCTGCCTATTACAAACCTACACCCAATGTCACACTAAACGGGCAAAAAATGGAAGCATTCCCCTTGAGAACTGGAACAAGACAAGGATGCCCACTCTCACCACTCCTATTCAACAAAGTACTGGAAGTCCCAGCCAGAACAATCGACAATAAAAAGAAACAAGAAACAAAAGGGATCCAAATAAGAAGAGGGGAAGTCAAACTATCTCTCTTCACCCGCAATATGATTCTATACCTAGAAAACCCCATAGTCTCTGCTCAGAGGCTGTTAGAACTGCTAAACAACTGAAATAAAATTTCAGAATACAAAATTAGTGTACAAAAATGAGTAAAATTTCTACACATCAACAACATCCAAGATGAGGGCCAAATAAAGAATGCAATTCCATTCACAATAGCCACAAACAGAATAAAATACCTAATAATACAGCTAACAAGGGAGGTGAAAGGTCTCTACAATGAGAATTAAAAAACACTGCTCAAAGACATCAGAGATGACACAAACAAATAATAAAACATTTCATGTTCATGGATAGAATCAGTGTTGTGAAATGGCCATATTTCCCAAAGCAATTTACAGATTCAATGTTATTCCTATCAAATTACCAATGCCATTTTTCACATAATTAGAAAAAAAAATCTAAAATTTATATGGAACCCAAAAAGAGACTGAATAGCCAAACAAATAGCAAGCAAAAGAACAAAGTCATGGAGTCACACCAGATGACTTCAAACTATACTCCAAGTCTACAGAAACTAAAACAGCATGGTACTGGTACACAATTAGACACATAAACCAATGGAACAGGTTAGAGAATTCAGAAATTAAGCTGCATGCCTACAACCATCTTATCTTTAACAAAGTTGACAATATGAGTAATTGGTAAAGGATGTCCTATTCAGTAAATGGTGCTGGGATAACTGGCTAGCCAATACAATCTTCTGTAACAGATGCAGAAGATTGCATATGGCTAGCCAGTTATCCCAGCACCATTTACTGAATAGGACATCCTTTAAATATCAATTCAAGATTAATTAAAGTCTTAAATGTAAGACCTCAAACTATAAAAACTCAAGAAGAAAATCTAGGAAATACTATTCTGGACCTAGGCCTTGGCAAAGATTTTATGATGAAGGATCCAAAAGCAATTGCAGCAAAAACAAAAATAGACATAACTATACTAAAAAGTTTCTGCACAGCAAGAAAAACTATTAACAGAGTAAGTAGACAAGCTACAGAATAGAAGAAAATATTTGCAAAATATGCATCCAAGAAAGGTCTACCAACCCCATTAAAAAGTAGGCAAAGAACATGAACAGATATTTCTCAAAAGAAGATATTCATGGGGCCATCAAGCATATTAAAAATGCTCATCACTAATCATTAGAGAAATACTAATCAAAGCCACAATGAGATACTACCTCACATCAGTCTGAATAGTTATTTTTAAAAGGTCAAAAAGTAACATGCTGGTGAGGTTGTAGAGAAAAAAGGATGGTTACACACTGCCAGTGAGAATGTAAATTAATCTAGCCAATGTAGAACACAGTTTGGAGATTTCTCAAAGAACTTGCAACAGAACTACCATTCGACCCAGCAAGCTCCTCACCGGATATACACCTAAAGGAATGTAAATTATTCTACCGAAAAAACACATACACTTCTGTGTTCATCACAATGCTATTCGCAATAGTGAAAACATGGAATCAACCTAGATGCTCATCAATGGTGGACTCCATAAAGAAAATGTAGTGCATGTACACCATGGAATACTATACAGCCATAAAAAGAAAGGGACCATATCCTTTGCAGCAACATGAATGCAGCTGGAGGCCATAATCCTAAGTGAATTAATGCAGGAACAGAAAACAAAATAACACATGTTCTCACTTGTAAGTGGAAGATAAACTTTGAGTACACATGGCCACAAAGAAGGGAACAACAGACACCAGCATTTACTTGAGGTCAGAGGGTGGGAAAAGGGTGAGGGTTGAAAAACTATTTATTGGGTATTACATTCACTATCTGTTTGATGAAATCATTTGTACATCAAATCCCAGCGATATGCAATTTCCCAGTTAAAAAACCTACACATGTTCCACCTGAACCAAAAATAAAGTTTAAAAAAGAAAAAAAAAAAAGAGAACATTGATCGATCCCCAAGGAAAAAAGAAAAATCTACAGTGTAGGAAAATCTAACATAGATCTCTTTGTAACTGAAAAAACAAGGCAATAATTAAGTTTTAAAAATTCGACAAACATCATATTTACACAGAGAATGAATGTAAGAAACAGGGCTGCACCTTTATGGTCACTGCCTTCAGGAACATTCCTTTATCCTAAATTCTAATCATAGTTCTTAAAGCATGGAATAATCTTAATAATTTGCTAAAGAAACTAAAACACATTAGGAGATATTTTTACTATGAATATAAAAATACTGTTTAACTTCTGTTAAACTAAGTTGTTTGCCAAGTACTACATCAGGAATATATTCACTTATCTTTTTTTGCCAAATATATTATACAATAAAAAATATATAAAAAATAAATAAAGCATAACTAAAAAATCCATGTAATCCATCACAGTTTCTTGAGGGAAGGTTCAATACAGTTGAATCACACTTCTTCTGCACTTCCACAATATTTCCCACCCTCCTTCCAGAGATAATCAATATCCTATACCTGGAGAGTATTATTTCTAATGTTTTTCTTTGTATTTTTACCAGTTCACTTTCCTCATTCTGACAACAACAATTTGACAGAATGAGATACATTAAATCTGTTGATCTCATCTTATTTCTGCTGTGCTCCATTTCTTCCATAGTTCATCTACGATCTTGCTTTCATTCTTTGCTTGCTATTCAACTATTTTATCTCATCTGGTCTCATCATATCTCATCTCATCTTTGAATTTAAATGTACACTTGTCTATTCCTTCTTCCCTGCAAATGAATTTTACTGAAGAAAAATACACAAAAATGTTGATGAGACTGGTTTTAAATGTATGACAAATAACATCAAATGGGTCTTTTAGTGATGTTTTTTAATGAAAGCTAATGATAGCCAAAAAGTGGAAGCATTGTAAATGTCTTTCAACTGATGAATAAATGAATAAAATGTGGCATACCCATTTAATGGAATATTACTCAGCCTTAAAAAGAAATGCATTACTGATATATGGTACATGGATGAACATTTAAAATATTACATTAATATAAGAATTAACTGAAAAGAATTGAAAAAAAAAGTAAATACAAGAGTTCACATATGTAATGCTTTATTTATATAAAGCATCCAGACAGAAAAATCCATTGAAACAGAAAAGAGATTAGCAGTTGCTAAGACTGGAGATGGGGGGAGCAGAAGTAATGGGATGTGACTACTAATGTATATAGATTTTTTTTTAGGATGACGAAAGTATTTTCAATTAGGTAGTGATGATGGTTGCACAGCCTTTATAATACACTAAAAATCATCAAATTGCATACTTTAAAATTGCAAATATTATGGCATGTGAATTCCATCTCAGTAAAAATAAACAATTGAATAAAGATCACCAAGGTATTCTGTTGTCTCAGCATGCTTCTGAGAATGTTACACACAGCTCTGCCCAA
The DNA here is from genome assembly GCF_000001405.40 of Homo sapiens. NCBI lineage: Eukaryota > Metazoa > Chordata > Mammalia > Primates > Hominidae > Homo > Homo sapiens. The sequence continues at coordinate 5,129,078 of NC_000011.10, forward strand.
AGACACTGACCTAGCTCCAGCTAGAGGATCATCAGCCACACAGCTATCCCGGCACTCTGCTCCATTCATTTCCGTCTCTTTGCACTTAATCCTGAAATCATTTTTCTCTGCATCTTAATTCTCAGAGTATGTACACCTTGGCCTACATGTTTAAGGTGTGTTTTAGCCTGGATCTGTGCTACATGCTTGGTGAGCCTTTTCTCACATATTCCTCACAAGTCTCTGAGGCTCGTATTGTTAGCCCCATTGTAGAGAAGAGGAAATAACATGCCCAGGAGTATGTAGAATGTTAAAGGAAGGGTAATGGAGAAACTCAGACCTTTTTGATTCCTAGCTAGGATACCTATTTATCCATCTTTAACTTAAGGCAATCCCTTCGAGCCCTCAAACAATTTATTCTTGGAATAAATTTCTCTTTTTAAGATGTTCATTGCATCATAGTCAGGGCATATCAGTCTGACTCATATCTCAGCCCTCTAGCTGCTGTAGGTGGCTGTCCTTTATCTCGGATTCTGCATCCAATTAGCCAGAGCCCTCAATTGAAGAGCAATGGAGCAGACTCTCAGAAACTACGTGTACAACCTCATTTTGAGGCCAGGTCTTTTTTTATACCTTAAAAAAAGGTAATATGAACCCAGATCTTCAGCATGGAACAAATTTGACCTGTAAAGAAGACCAAAAAGCAACCAAGAAGTCAAACAGATCTGTGTGCTGACTGGGACCTAGCTGAAATCAGCTGGACCAGGTGCTGTACTCCATGTGGAAATTGCTTCAGCTGGGGTTTCTTTAGCAGAGAACACTGGACAGGGACAACATTGTTTCAGAAACTAGTAATATTATTATGCACTGTAATTGTTCTTTTTATTAATTACAGGTTTAAATGGCTTGAAATGCCAACCCACAGTCTAATTATGACACAAATTTTTCATTTAATTTTTTTCCATTAGATAATGTGCATTTTTAAGATCTTTGTTGTTTGTCTTCCCTCATACTCCAGAGAATGAAAAAAAAATATGTCTTTTAGGATATGTAATGTGTTTTTTTCTGATAGACCTATGTTGAAATTTTTATTTTCTGTTGATTTTTTTCCAATATGGGTGTTTTGTCTATTTTCATTTATATAATTTGGTGCATTTTTATACCAGATACTTTGAAATACAGTTTTTTCATTCACTCATGATTAATCTGTAGTTATCATCATATTGTTTGTTTTGGTTTCTTATTTAGGAGTATCACTTACTTATTATCTTCATTCTTTATCCTTCATGTATACTAACTTTTCTGAAAGAATTCATATATTTATGATTTTTTTTTCTTTTGGGAGAATGACTCCTCATTAATTATTCATTCTGCGTTATTAATGGCACAACCACTGAAATATTTAATGCTCTAATCCAGAATTAAAATGGTTATTTCATTATTAAGTTTTGCTTATCTAATTCAACAATTTTTAATATGTCTGCCTATCAACTAACATGTTGTTTTATCTTTTGTCATGTATTTTTGATTCTTTCTAAATATAATGTTTACATAAACTTTATTAAAAAAATTATGACTCAAAGTCATTTCTACATTATTGACAAGATTTTTCCCCAAAATTGTATGTATCTATGTCTGCCTCTTGAATGATATGATTTTTTACATCAGAACGTTTTACCATATTATTTCTTTCTTTGACCATGCATCTTTTCAAAATTAGTGATTCAGATGACTCTGTCAACTTGATTCTTAAGGAAAAAAAAATTTGTTTGGTTCTAAGTCTTGACTAAAGTCCTTATTCAGGAGGTGGTTTCTTATATGCCAGTTCTGTGTTTAGCTAATATATTATTTCAGGTTTGCATAATGATTATTTCAAGTCTTCACCTTTCTTTTACCCTGATAATATTGGAATAAAATCTCTAGCATGGTTTTCTGTATGGTAAGATTGCATATTACTTAGAGCCTCCAAATTTGTGGCTTTTGAATACCATTAATTGACACAAAGAAAATGTTTACTCTGTTCATTATTCAATGTCATTTTTACTTAGATTCTAAGAATTCTCAGGCATTGTCCACTGTTTTCCTGATAAAGGGTAAATAAGATAGTTTCTGTACTCAAGATGCTTTCAGTGGGTAACAGAATTTGTATGTTCAATTTTAGAACTTAAACTTCCAAATTTGAGTAAAACTCAAGTTAGGTAAAAATCAATAAAATTGTGTGGTTCTAGAAGGATATTTGATATGTAAGCCCAGATCACTGATTTTATTTTCCTGAAAATGATATTTGTGAATATGTTTAATATTTTTCAATTTTTTTTGCATTCTCTCCTGTGTAAATTCCTTAGTGTTTATAGTCATTGGTTGCATTACATAAGTTTTATGTTGTAGATATCGGTATTACTGATTTCATATTATTTTTATATTGATAAGTATTTCAGATAAAGTAAATAAGACACAGATAAATGATTCCAAATTTATCAAAATATAGATTCAAAGCAAATACTAAAAAGTGAGACATAGCTAGAATTACAGGTATGTGTTGAGCTAGTAGTTTGAGAATATTGATCTGTGACTTTCATTATATTTAGGTTTTTACTTAGAACCAACCCTAAATCTCTATAGGAGTCACTAACGATCAAGTTACTTTTTTGAAGAAAAACACTTTCACAATATGGTCACGAATTTGCTTGGTCTTCACTCCATAGACAATAGGGTTGAGAAAAGGTGGGACTAACAGGTAAAGATTTGACAAGAGGATATGAATATATGGTGGTATGTGTGAACCAAACCTGTGTGTGAAGAAAGAGAAGAAGGCAAGAAGGTAGAACTGTAGGAAGACACAAATGTGGGCAATGCATGTATTAAAGGCCTTGAATCGTGCCTCCTTCTGGGGCAGCTGAAAGACAGTGATAAAAATTTGGACATAGGACAAGGTTATAAATATTATGTCAAACCCTAGGATTGCAAAGGCAACAAATAGGCCATATATCTTGTTGACTCGGATATCTTCAGTAGCCAGCTTCACGATGGCCATGTGCTCACAGTAAGAGTGAGAGATGACTGTAGTTCGATAGTGTTTCAGACAGCATTTGATGAGCCCTAAGGAAGGTATTATAAGAATGGCAGCCCTGAGTGTCACCCCAAGTCCAATATGAGTTAAGAACTGCTGGGAAAAGATGGTGGCATGTCTCAAGGGGATACAGATGGCCACATAGCGATCCAGGGCCATTGCCAGAAGGATACCCGATTCAATTGCCTGGAATGAGTGAATAAGCCACATTTGAAAAAGACAGGCATCAAAAGAAATCTCTGGCAAATGAAACCAGAAGATGCCTAACATTTTGGGAAGAATGCAGGTGTTAAGTGCAATGTCTGTGGCTGCCAACATGGCCAAAAAAATGTACATGGGTATATGGAGGCTGTTTTCATATTTGATTATAACTAAAATTAGGGAATTTCCAATCACACCAATAAGATACATGGCAGAGAAAGGAATCCCAATCCAACACTGCACTGACTCCAGACCAGGAATCCCAATTAGTATAAACGCAGAGGGCATGAAGACTGAGCCATTGAATGTCGGCATGATTTGTTCATCAGAATCAAGTGGTAGATTTGCTGTTTCATCTTCTATTCTCTGTTGAGCCTTGATGAATTAAAAATTAAAAATATGTTAATTTATTTTAGGAAAATATACTGTAGTTATTTTAGGAGTGTATCATGTTGTATTTTCTATTCTAACTAATCTTCTCTAATTTTCTGTCTCCTTTACCAAAGTCACTGAAAGACAAACATCAGGTTCTGTTTCTCCATGTCTTAATCATTTTCAATGGGCAAAATTAAATGGATTAGACGGCTTTTTTCTGGTTCATGACTATTGGATCAACAATATTTTATGTTTATTACTCAGCATTATGTGCTTTTTCTTTGACTTACCAATTGAAATTGTAAAAAAAAAATATTATTTAATGCAGAGCAAAGAATTTTAAAACTAGACTTCATCTACATTAGCCATAAAGAAAGGATCCACAGGCCGGGCACAGTGGCTCACGCCTGTAATCCCAGGACTTTGGGAGGCCAAGGTGGGTGGATCACGAGGTCAGGAGATCGAGACCATCCTGGCTAACACGGTGAAACCCCATCTCTACTAAAAATACAAAAAATTAGCCAGTGTGGTGGCAGGCGCCTGTAGTCCCAGCTACTTGGGAGGCTGAGGCAGGAGAATGGCATGAACCCGGGAGGCAGAGCTTGCAGTGAGCCAAGATCACACCACTGCACTCCAGCCTGGACGACAGAGCGAGACTGTCAAAAAAAAAAAAAAAAAAAAAAAAGAAAGGATCCACAGTGCTGTAGACCATTCTGGTCATAATCAGAAGACAAGTTTGACTGAAATGTTCTTTAGTTTTGAAATCCACTGGCTGTTTTTTTTTTTTTTCCAGGTTAGGTTTTTTGTAGTCTTTTTCTCATATAGGCTCAAAATTCTTTCAACCTAATTTTTCAAACTTTCAGTGTCTTCTCAAAACCCAATCATATATCTTATACATTGTCCTGTGCATTCTCTAACAAAATTAATTCCTTATTTTTGAATTCATGGGTCTTTTCTTCAGCACTTCCTATCAAAGCTTCTTCTCACCTACCATGCTCAGCCATGTGCACATCTCTTGTATTAATATCAAGTGCCAACATATACCCTCTAATTTTCATTACCTAGAAATAGGCATTGTTACCTCCCTAAGCCTGAACCATCATCTCTTCTTAACAACTTGAAATTACATGAAACTCTCTAAGAAATATTATAATTTTTTTCTTTACATAAAACTTTATATATCTATACATCTTCTATCTACTCAAATACAATTATTTATATAAAGGTGAAGATTTTCTTTGGCACGTTATTTTGCATAGGACTGTTTCGATACTCTTTTCTGTCTCTGCCCTTCACTGGTAACTCCAGCATGTAACACTCTAGGCTTCCAGAGCCTTCTATCTCTGTTACCAGGGGACAAGTGTCAGTGTAGAGTGGCTTTGCCTTCTCATCATCCAAAGCTCAAGGGCTTTTTATTGTCTGAATTAATCTCTGCTTCAAGAAAATACTTGCATCACAAAATATGTGAAATATTAAATAATTTACATATTACCTGTATTTTCTTTTAGTAATTGCAAAACTCACTCTCTGAAATAATTTAAGTAGACTGCAAAATAGATAAAGATAGTAGTGGGGGGCCAACAAGGAAAAATCTCACCAACCTGCCAGCCTCATCACCTTTCAATTGTCTATTTGTTTAATTTTTTCTTTTTCCCCGATATACTTACATTGTTTCTGGGAAGTGAAAGAGCATGTATAAGCTATCTCCAGCAATTACAGAAGCATCTCTTTCTTTCTTTCCATAAAACTTATCCAAAAAATAAATTAGAGGTTTATTATTTAATGATTTTAATTAACAAAGATTTATTAAGTATCCACTATGATCCAAATATTGTTTGAAGCAATTGAGAAACAAAGATAAATTTATTTATTCCATATTTATTAATTATCTACATTTTGCTGAATGTGTGGACTTCAAAAAGTAACATGTACCATTTATTAAATATGTGTTAAATATCACTCAGTTAAAATCTTTAAACATTTTACATTGTTTTACCATTCTTAATTTATGAAATTAGCATTGATTATATTAATATATTAATATTAATATGGTTGATTATATTAATGAAAGTCTAGAACTTGTTATAAGTAAATACACTTGGATCAAAATTTTATGCTGTATTTACCCAGAAAGAACAAAATATGCAAATTTCTGTCCTCTGAGATTTTTTAATTTTTATTTTTTTAACTTATTTTTGAGATTATCGCCCAGGCTGGAGTGCAGTGGCACGATCTCGGCTCACTGCAAGCTCCGCCTCCCGGGTTCACGCCATTCTCCTGCCTCAGCCTCCCCTCCTGAGTAGCTGGGACTACAGGCACCCGTCACCATGCCTGGCTAATTTTTTGTATTTTTAATAGAGACGGGGTTTCACCATGTTAGCCAGGATGGTCTCAATCTCCTGACCTTGTGATCCTCCTGCCTCAGCCTCCCAAAGTGCTGGGATTACAGGCGGGAGCCACCAAGCCTGGTCAAGATTTTATAAATATAATCCAATAAATAAGGATTACAAGATATATGTATCAGAGGGTAATTACATGAGGCTGGGTAATGTAAAAATATACCAACTATTTTCATTACTGAGCTTGTTAAGATTCTGATGGACATTACTCCCCAATCACTTTAATTTATCACATAGGTATAGGACGCACAGTACAGAACACGTTTATTATATGCTACCTGTTTGATATATGTCCACTTCTTGAACAACATACCATCCAAATGTAAATAAAAAATAAAAGTTTAAGTCCCTTCAACCATTTGAATGGACTTTCTCCTGATCCAAGGCACTCTAAAATTTAACCTGAAAGGCTGGTTCAGGCCATGAAGGGAAGTGGGGGTGAGACATGCCCCATTACATCTCTCCAGCATTAACATCAACACAGACCTTAAGTCTAATAAGAAACATTTACAATCTGTTCTCTCTCAAGCCTGCTACCCAGAGGCTTCATCTGCATGATAAAACTTTGATCTCCATAACCTCTTACTGCAACTCAGATATTCCTTTCTAATTGCCAGTTAGAAAAATTTTAAACCTACCTACAAACCTGGAAGCACCCCTGATTTCTGGACCTAACCAATGTATTTCTTAAATGTATTTTATTGAAGTCTCATGTCTCCCTAAAATGTATAAAACCAAGGTACACCCAGACTACCTTGGGCACATGTTCTCAGGACCTCCTGAGCACTGCGTCCCAGGCCATGGTCACTTATATTTGGCTCGGAATAAATATCTTCAAATATCTTACAGAGTTTGACTCTTTGTTGACATATATACTGGGCAATAATCTCCAATTTGGCTCAAAAATATTTATTATTGCCTTTATCAGAAATATTGCTCTGATTAATCTAACAGGGCCACATGAGTAATAGTTGAGCTGGAGACTCTTTGAAAGGTAACATACAAATTCAAACTTTGACAATGTATATACTGAGTAGTCAGAGAAAAGACAGCAAAAAGAGACGATGAAGCAAGTGAACAAAATAGCAAGTGAATAAAAAAGAAAAGCAAGCCTTCAATCAAAAAGCCCATAGACCATGTTGAGAAAATAATGACCTTTCTTCTGGATAGTTTTTCATTTCCATTTCTATTTCCACCTCCACTTCCACCTTCCATTAGGCCTAATTTGTTTTTCTAGGGCAGACTTTCTCAATCTCAGCACTGACATCTTAAGCCAAATAAATTATTTGTTGTGGGAGATGTCATCTGTTTGGTAAAAGGTTTAGCAGCATCTCTGGCTCCTATCCATTGAATGCCAGTAGCACTTCCTTGTAGCAACAATAAAAAATGCCTTCAAGCATTGCCAAATGTCCCTTGGATGCATGAAGAGGGACATATCTCTGGTTGCTAGCAGTTATAACCTAAGACTTCACATTAGAGGGGAAAATAAGCCCTTAATTAAATAAAGATTGATGAATTTATGTATGTTAAATCAAACTGGGCAGAATAAAACTGGGTATTGAGGGAAATATTTTTTCAGTAGATATTGGCCAGATAAAGGAGATAGACAAGGGCATTCTTTAAAGACAAAATAGTTTGTATAAAATCACAGAAGTATGAAACACATGCTGGAAATACATATCAATAAATATTTTACTACATAAATTCATTCATAAACAGAAATAATAGTTGGTTAAATGTAAAAGGGAAAGGATCAAATGTAAAGTTACTATTTTAAGCCAAGTAATAAAAGTTTGTAAGTGATAGGCCAGACCTTTGGCCTTTTAAAAATTCTATCTGCTAGCAGGTTAGCAAATGATTTTAAGGGAATGAGAGCAAGGGCATAGTAAGATCTTGTTAGAAAGGTATTTGTGATAGTCCAGATGGGATATTATAAAGTAATGTGACAATAGTGAAGGATTAACAACAAATCAAAATCTGTGAGGACTCACCAACATGATGTAAGGGTACATTGAGAGATGAGGCAAAACATGTTCTTGGACTGAGAATTACTGCACTGGATAAGAAAAGGCAGCCTGGGGAACAACTTTGTTTGCACAAATATGCATATGTTTAAAGGAAGAAGAAAACTTCCCAAAGCCCTTGAAATTCCTGGGCCAAAGTCAACACGCTAGAAACTTACATCTTGCATGTGTGAATAAACCCTGAATAACTACCACTCCAGTTCTGATACAAGCTAATTCCAAGGATCTGAAACTACTAAGTGATTTAGGAGTCTAAGTTTACACTCCCTCCTAGAGTTAATCCACACTATCTACAATATCAGAAATCTCATCCCTTTATATCATCTTTAAAGTTACCATTTGATCTCTGCCTGAAACCTTCCCATGACAGAAAACTCTCTCCCTCTCTCTCTTTTTTTTTTTTTCGGAGATAGTGTGCCACATCGCAGGACAGCTTCCAGTGTCAACGAGGTCTTCTTTATATAGAGCTCCAAACTGCCTCCCTCTTAATTTCTCATAAAGGTCTGAAATCTACATTTTAATAATAGACACCAGTCATAGATAATAGCAGTGAATTCTACAGAACCTGAAGCTGGTCAAAAGAGGTCAAATCCTAGACCTGCTATTGCTTGGCCTTGCATGCCCTTGAGCCAGTTGTGAAATTCTAACTACCTCAGTTTCCTCATTGGTAAAATAGAAAGAGACACATTACAGAGTGATTGTAAAAATTAATGACACAATCCATTTCAAATATTGAGAAATAAACAAAAATGTGTTGATTGGCACCGGCTATTTTTCTGTAAGACTTTATCCTTCTCATCCCATAAAATAACTTCACATATTTGATGACACAGTGAGCAGTTCTCCTAAATCTTCCCCAGTCTAAGCACGTTCAATTTTCTTGGCTTTTAGCAAATAAGCTTTCCATTTGCTTATCAGCCCAGATAATCATTCTCTAGATGTCCTCCCATTATTAAATCTCACTTTAAAATATGTCACCCAGCATTTCATCGACTGATCATAAATATTCTGAAAAGCATGAGATACCATGAGACATCATTTTAGAGTTTGAACACTCAACTATTTTAAGATTCTGTTGCATTTTTATCATCCTGGCATATTGAATCGCAGGAGACATATGTCCTCTTTAGAATGAATTCTTCATTTTCCCAAATACCATGCAGAATCTCAAGCTCAAAGACTTACCAGGGATATCAATGGACTTATAAGTAGAAGCCATAGAGGAGAACTCTTTTTTGTTTATGTTTCAGGCAGTGAACCCTGAGCATTTTGTATTACAAAAGGCCCCTTTGGGATTGGGTCTCACAAATCTCTGGCCAGCCTGGAGGACCACTTGGGACAAGAGTGAAACAAGAGGCGGAATATGGTTAAGAACTCAGAAGATTCATTAACTAATCGAGCTCTGTATCTAAAAATACAAAACAGAACCAAAAAGACTCAATCTCTTCAGGACTTGGAACCAAAATGAACTCCTTTTACAAATTCATAAGAGATGACAGTGTACCATGATGACAATGTCATCACAGCACTTAATTATAAAAATAATGAGCCAATAAAGGGAAATTAAAACGTCTTGAAATATTCAGACTAATCAGTGTAGACAAATGCTGACAGATAATTAAAGGAATATTTTCGTAGTTTAATTCCAGTATGATAAGCAATTATTTCTCATTAGGTTCATGAAAGAGGCTGACTTTGAAAAGTGTACCTCAGGGCCCCAATCACAGCCACTCTCTGAGCGGCTTCTGCATGAACTTTGGTGACACAAATCTTTCTTATATACAAACCAGCTCTCCTCAAGTTGTCCCAGTCATGTCAGAATTCTGACACAATGATATGTATTTTTCAAAAATGTTAGTGCAGTCATAATATCTATATCAACTTTGCGTTGGGGACTAGAATTTTTAACGTTTATTTCCTTAGTTGTGATAAAAGAAAAACTTCAGCCAAATTAAATTTAGAAAAGTTTAACTGAGCAATTTGCAAATTGGGCAGCCTCCCCGCAAGCTAGAAGAGTAGGCTCTGGGACTCCAGCGCAGCCACATGGTGGAAGATTTATGGACAGAAAAAGGAAACTGAGGTAACAGAAAAGAGAAGTGAAGTACAGAAACAACTGAATTGATTACAGGTTAGCGTTTGCCTTATTTGAACATGATTCGAGCAGGTGTCTACAATTGATTGACCAAAACTCAGTGATTAGCACAAGCGTAGGCTACAGTCTGTTTATACCTCCACTTGTTATAGTTCACAATATACAGAGAAACCCTTGGGCCGAAATTAAAATATGTAAGGAGGCAACTTTAGGCTAAACTTGGTTTTACAGTTGAAAAAAGAGTTTGTGACTTACAAAATGGATTTTACAAGTTGAACTCATAAATACAAAGAATAAACTGATGGTTACCAGACTTTTGGGAGATGGGAGGATTGGGGAAATGTTGGTGAAATGACAAAAAACTTCAGTTAGATGGAGAAAATCAGTTCAAGAGCTATATTGTACATCAAGGTGACTATAATTAATCAACATATTATATATACTTGAAAATTGCTAAGAGCAGGTTTTTAAGTGTTCTCACAACAATAAAAAAGATAAATATGTGAGATGCACGTGTCACTGATAAGCAGTTCTATTTAATCATTCCACAATGTATACATTTATCAAAACATCATGTTGTACACCACAGATTTATACAATTTCTACTCATCAATTAAAAAGGAAAAAGGAAAAGGGATTGACAGCTTTGGCCTAAAGTAGAGAGAGGGAAAAGATTCCCATTCTCTGCATAGTACTAGAAGTCTTGAAGACTGGATTTCTTGCATCTGCCTGAGACATATGCTCTTGCCAAGAGTCACAATGCTTTTCTCCTGTCTTATTGGGTCTGGACTTATTCAGGAGACCTGTTCTTTTTACATATAAAGAGCCAGTGACTCCATCTTGTCAGTAACCTCCCATAAAATTATATCCAACCTAGAAAAACCAATGGTATTGAATTAAGAGCAGTTATGTACTAGAACCAGCTCATATCATGCCTATAAGAGCTGGTTTCAAGCATCTCTTTCCAGCTTTGCTTTCACTGACTTCACGTTGGTAGCTTGACATCAGCCATAGCCGGAGTATTTACATCAGGAAAGTGAACAAACAATGCAAATAAGAATGCCAATCCCTGACAGAAATAACAACATATGAACCCCAAATAAAATGAAATATTTTCAGGAAAAGTAAGATAAATACTTTTCAGATAGATATGAAGTAGGCTCAGGTAAAATCTGTACACTTCTGAAATCTAAATACTACTTTATTATTTATAGAGTAACTAACAAATATAGACCTACTGAATGGCTCCAAAGATACTTTTGGAAACATGCAAAAAAATATGTGAACCTCAAGGAATCACAATGCTATAGAATACTAGAGAAAAAAATATTACTAGATACTATTTAGTTAAAACCCATTGGAACAATGGGGAAAACATCTGTTTTAGACGCAATGTGACTCACTACTTTGGTGACTGATATGGATCCTTAGTACTCATGCTAATAAATAAAAACAATGGTTTGCATAAGCATTTTAATGGAAATGTATACCCCTGAAAAATGTAATAGGAAATAAAACGCGTTTTTTAAAATAGACTCCTATCTGCACGTTTTTCAGAGAAAAGCAGAAACAAGGCATTTGAGTTAAAATACAACAGAAACAAAATTTGAATAGCTTTTACTATGGATGGTTGATAAAATTCATCTAGTGAAAATAAATGTTTTAATGAAATACGAAAATTTAAAATACAAAGGCCTGACCATATGTATATGACATGTAGAATTTTACAAATTAAGATGGATGTCTTTACCACGCAAAAAAAGAAGGGATCATGGAAAAGCTTATATTGGCCAGAGAATTACCTACTAAGTTCAAAAGTAGAGTCATCTATATGATGGACTATTAATCACAAAGATAAATGAAGTTCTGACTTATGCTAAAACATCAATGAACCTTGAAAAGATTACGCTAAGAAGCCAGACATAAAAGGCAACATGTGGTATAAACCCACTTATATGAAGTATCCAGAATACACAAATCCATAGGGACAGAAAGTAGATGAGTGATTACCAGAATCTGGAAGCAGGAAGAAATGGGGAGTGACTGCCAGTGGGTATGGAATTTCATTATTGGTGTGATTAAAATGTTCTGAGGCTGGGTGTGATGGCTCATGCCTGTAATCTCAATGCTTTGGGAGGCTGAGGTGGGCAGATAACCTGGGGTCATTAGTTCGAGAGCAGCCTAGCCAACATAGTGAAACCCTGTCTATACATAAAACAAACAAACAAAAATTGTAAAAATTAGTTGGGCATGGTGGCACATGCCTGTAGTCCCAGCTACTTGGGATGCCGAGGCAGGAAAATCACTTGAACCTGGAGGTTGCAGTGAGCCAAGATCATGCCACTGCACTCCAGCCTGGGTGACAGAGCGAGACTCCATCTCAATAAGGAAAAAAAAAAGTTCTGAAATTACAGGGTGGTAATAGTTGCATTATTTTCTGACTATACTAAATCCACTGACTTGTACACCTTTAGCAGGTTAATTATTTGGAATGTGAATTATATCACAATTAAAAATAATAATTGGCTTAGCATGGTATACACAGACTATACAAAAAAACCACTAGATATATGTTTTCAAACATTAGGATATGATAAATAAATATGGTGATGTAATTTGATAACCAAGAAGGAAGCATAGCTCAAATGTAAATGCAAAACCTTTATTCTGGGTAGAAAGGATATATGGAAATCTTTTGTACTTTCTACTCAGTTTTTCTGTAAACCTAAATTTTATCCAAAAACCAAAGTATATTAATGAAAAAACAATAAAATAATAGAAAAATCTTTTTTGTTGTTGGCAGAGTCTCACCCTGTTGTCCAGGCTGGAGTGCAATGGTGCAATCTCAGCTAACTGCAACCTCCACCTCCCAGGTTCAAACTATTCTCCTGCCTCAGCTCCCCTTATAACATGTATACAAAGATTCACATGTACCCATTATCACAAATTGTTCATATTTTGCCCCATTGTACTTTATCACTAGTTCAGTAGGTAGGCAAAAGGAGTATTTTTTTTTTCTGAATGGTTTACAAATAAATTGAAGACATGGTTACCCTTTATATCTAAATTTTAAAGTTTGTATTTCCTAAGGAAAAGACATTACATTGTATAACTATGGTATTATAACCAAGATGAGGACAGTTAGCATTGAAATAAAATTATAACCTAATATAAAGTCCATGTTTAAAGCTAGACAATAGTCTCAACAATGACATCTATAGCTATATTTTCTTTTTTCAGAATTCAATCCAGGAATACCTAGTGCAGTTAATTTTCGTGTCTCTTTAGACTTCTTGAATTTTCAAAACCTCCTCAGCTTTTCTTTCATATCTTGGATCTGTGAATAAACCCTGAATAACTACCACTCCAGTTTTGATACAAGCTAATTCCAAGGATCTAAAACTACTAAGGGATTTAGGAGTCTAGATTTACACTCCCTCCTAGAGTTAATCCACACTATCTACAATATCAGAAATCTCATCCCTTTATATCATCTTTAAAGTTACCATTTGATCTCTGCCTGAAACCTTCCCATGACAGAAAACTCTCTCCCTCTCTTTTTTGTTTTTTTTCTGAGATAGTGTGCCACATCGCAGGACAGCTTCCAGAGTCAACGAGGTCTTCTTTCTATAGAGCCCCAAACTGCCTCCCTCTTAATTTTTTTCTTTCGCTTTCTTGATAGTGGAATTTTTGAGGAACATCCATTTACTATTTAGAATTTCCATCATTTTAAGTTTCTTTGGTGTTTCCTCATGACTAGGATTCAGGCTATGCTGTTTTGCTTGTTTGTTTTTAATATCGCAGAATAATATAGCCTTTCTCTGTTCACCATATCATTAATCACATGATGCTGATATGTTCTAATATTAATGTGGTTAGTTTCAGTCACTTGGTTAATGGGATGTCACTCTGGATTCTTGGTAAGTTGCTATTTTTCTCTTTGTATTTCATAGAAATCTGTGAAAAAATATATTTATTGAGACGATTTAAATAGTCCACTCCTCTGAACACTTTCACTCATGAGTTTTTTTATTCTGTTTATGAATTTTTAAATCCATCATACCTTTCCTATTTATTTATTGGCATTACACTGTAAAGAAGAACATTCCCTTTTCCCAAATTTGTATTGCTTTACTTATGTTTGTATAGATTCACAGAATCTGATTTTATTCAATGGGCTATAATCCTTTGCCATAATTATTTATTTTGATGCTCAAAATTTTCTAAATTTTGCCATAAGGAGCTCCTTCCAACCAGATCTTGGGTCCTTTCCACATGTTCCAATCATGCTTTGAGTACTTCCTTACTTTCTATCTCTGCATCATCATTTCAAATTACTTTATGCTTTTTCAGCTCAAGCCACAGAAACAGATATTTTTCCGAAAAGCCCTGGTCTCTTTCTGTGAACAAAGTTATTAAGAAAATCAGTATCTTGAAACAAGGATTGTTTATTCATTGCCATTGTTTGTTCATTGCTTTTGGTTCCTATAAGTGAACAGAGGAAATACATGCACACACACACACACAATTATATAATTACATTTGCATATGTTTGTATCTCTCTTTATTAAAAACAATGAATCCATACTTGCAATTGCAATTGGAATCCAAACCTTCAAGATTCTTTCTAGTCTCAATACTTTACTTACAAGTAATTATTTTCTTCACAAGTATAAAAATTATCCTCCATTATCCTCAACAGTTTTTCTCATTTCTTCAAGCCTAGAATACCCAGTAAATAACTCCCATATGGCTAGCCAATATTACTATGAAAAGCAAATGTAATAGCTGTTTGGTGTTTGTTTATACTACTCTTTTGTTACTAAGAAAAGACAGTAAAATAAATTGATCTTAAGCTTATTTTTTGCAAATACGTTACTCATTATCCTATCAAGATATAAAATATTTCCTGCACTCCAGAAAGTTTTCCCAACATGACCATTCCTACTTTTTCAGGGGAAAGCATTGTTGTTTAAAAAAAAAAATTACTTTCAATTAATTTTACCTGTCCTAGTGAGAGGTGACAGCGTGCTGGCGGTCCTCACAGCCCTGGCTTGCTCTCGGCGCCTCCTCTGCCTGGGCTCCCACTTTGGCCCCACTTGAGGAGCCCTTCAGCCCGCCACTGCACTGTGGGAGCCCCTTTCTGGGCTGGCCAAGGCCGGAGCCAGCTCCCTCAGCTTACAGGGAGGTGTGGAGGGAGAGGCGTGGGCGGGAACCAGGGCTGCGCCCAGCGCTTGCTGACCAGCGCGAGTTCCGGGTGGGCGTGGGCTCGGCGGACCCCGCACTCGGAGCAGCCGGCCGGCCCCACCGGCCCTGGGCAGTGAGGGGCTTAGCACCTGGGCAGTGAGGGGCTTAGCACCTGGGCCAGCAGCTGCTGTGCTCAATTTCTCGCCGGGCCTTAGCTGCCTTCCCGCGGGGCAGGGCTCGGGACCTGCAGCCCGCCATGCCTGAGCCTCCCCCACCACCCCTTGGGCTCCTGTGCGGCCGGAGCCTCCCCGACGAGCGCCGCCCCCTGCTCCAGGGCGCCCAGTCCCATCGACCACCCAAGGGCTGAGGAGTGCGGGCGCAGGGCGTGGGACTGGCAGGCAGCTCCACCTGCAGCCCCGGTGTGGGATCCACTGGGTGAAGCCAGCTGGGCTCCTGAGTCTGGTGGGGACGTGGAGAACCTTTATGTCTAGCTCAGGGATTGTAAATACACCAATCGGCACTCTGTATCTAGCTCAAGATTTGTAAACACACCAATCAGCACCCTGTGTCTAGCTCAGGGTTTCTGAATGCAACAGTCCACACTCTGTATCTAGCTACTCTGGTAGGGACTTGGAGACCCTTTGTGTGGACACTCTGTATCTACCAAATCTGGTGGGGAGGTGGAGAACCTTTGTGTCTAGCTCAGGGATTGTAAATGCACCAATCAGCGCCCTGTCAAAACAGACCACTCGGTTCTACCAGTCAGCAGGAATGTGGGTGGGGCCAGATAAGCAAATAAAAGCAGGCTGCCCGAGCCAGCAGTGGCAAGCTCGTGGTAGCTTTGTTCTTTCTCTCTTTGCAATAAATCTTGCTCCTGCTCACTCTTTGGGTGCACACTGCCTTTATGAGCTGTAACACCGCGAAGGTCTGCAGCTTCACTCCTGAAGCCAGCCGGACCCGAACCCACCGGGAGAAACGAACAACTCCAGACGCGCCACCTCAAGAGCTGTAACACTCACTGTGAAGGTCTGCAGTTTCACTCCTGAGCCAGCAAGACCACGAACCCACCAGAAGGAAGAAACTCCGAACACATCTGAACATCAGAAGGAACAAACTCCGGACACGCTGCCTTTAAGAACTGTAACACTCACGGCGAGGGTCCGCGACTTTATTCTTGAAGTCAGTGAGACCAAGAACCCACCAATTCCAGACACACTAGAACATCATATAAATACTAAAATATGAACTAATCAGTTTTACTCACTAAAAAGTTTTTTTCTAAATTATGATCCATACTTTTGCATAGCTTATTAGTTTATTTATGAAGTGTCTAGTAAAATGTTTTGCACATTTTTGTCTTTTACATGGAGTTATGAGTTATTTATATAAAATTTAAAAAATACTTATATAATTCAGATTTAAGTTTTTTTGCATGATTTTAGTCTGTTTATTGCTTGTTAATTTTCTTAGCAGTATACTTTTGCTGTAGTCGAAATTGTTGATAAGGTTATATCTTGTTGCTTCCTGTGTCGTAAGAAGGAAATCTTTGCCAATCCTCAATATATTAAGGTATTCTGATTTTTTCTTCCTAGAAGCCTTATTTTTCACTTCTATATTATCCCATAAATATACATCCTATATTTTGTGTGGTATTAAATAAATTTTTAGATTGAACATATATATATTTGTAAAATATATATAGATATATATGAATATCTAATTTTGTTTAAAAGGCTTTCTATTTTCCATTGAATTGCTTTGATACTTTTGTATAAAATCAATGGATTGTACAAATGTGGGCTTACTTACAGGCTCTCTGTTGTGTTTCATTAGCTGTTCTCATGCTGATATCACACTGTCTTTATTATTAGAATTTTGTAGTAAGTCTTGATGTCAGGTATTCTCAGTAATCAACATTTATTCTTTGAGATTGCTTTGGCTGTAGGTCCTTTGAATTCCCATGTAAAATATAAAATTACCTTCTCAATTCATGGCAAACAAAAGGTTGTTATGATTATATTTGGGATTGCTTTGAATCTTTAGATGACTTTAAGGAAATTAACATTTTAACAATAATGAGATTTCCAATCCATGAATATGGAACAGCTCTCTATTTCTTTAGATTTTGCCTTTCTTTCAACAATGTCTTGTAATTATCAGTGTAAAATTCTTGTATTTTATTGTATGCATAAATATAAATTATGTATCTTATGTTTTTACACTTTATGGCAAACTATTGTTATTTTCTAATTACTGGATTCCAGTATGTAGATTTACAAACAATTTTTACATAGACTTCCTACATTAAAACTTGCTAAATTCACTTACTAATTCATGATATCTGTTGTATTTGTATATTCCTTAGGATTTTTCATGTTAAAAAGTTGTGTTCACTACAAATAAAGGTTGTGCAATTGTCATTGTGTATGTTAGTCTCAGACCTTGCATGGAGGCGACCACAGTTACTGTCCTCTGTTCCCATCCTCGACTCTTTAGAGAGTCATCATCTAAATCTGAAATCTTAGAATATAGGGCAGAGGTATTTATCAGAACTCTATCATACATTTCACTTTCAGTTTTTACTTCTTTAATTAAATATTTTTTTAAAGCATTTGCACTTATGCCAGAAAAGTCTGACAGCATTCTGCTTAAGATTACTCTACATTTCTAGATTAAATTTAAGGAGAATTGATATCTTTACAACACTGAGATCAGCACATCAATGGTTGAACGTGGATGAATTCCTACAAGCTTTATTTTGTCCCAATATTATTCTTTAGTAACTTGTAAACCATGATGTTGAGTCTCTGGTGTGGGGAGGTGCTGTACTTACCTGCTCTCTGCCTTGGTTTTTTCACACTGAATAGTTGTATGTGTCAATTTGATTGGGGCACAATGCCCAGATTCTGGTCAGATATTATTCTGGATGTTTCTGTGTGGGTATTTCTGGATGAGACTGGCATTTAAATTAATAAACTTTGAGTAAAGCATATTGACCTTTATAATGTGCCTTCCAAGCAGTTGAAGGCCTGGATAGAACAAAAGACTGACTTGCCCCAATCAAGAGAGAATTCTGCCAGGAGACTGCCTTTGGACTTAAATTACAACACTGGCTCTTCCCTGAGTCTCCAGCCTATAGGCTCTCCCTGCAGATTTTGGATTTGCCAGCCTTCATAACTGTGTGAGTCAGGTTCTTAAAATTAATCTATCTCATATAGATACATAGATACAGATATATATGTATAGGTATACATATCTGCATATATGTGTATATACATATATGTATGCATAACCTATTGGTTTTGTACTGTGAAGAATCCTTATTAATACAAATTCTGAGCAATTTTAGAAATTATAAATAGATGTGGTAGGACAAAATATTACCTGTATTTTTTTTTTTTTTTCGGAGACAGAGTCTTGCTCTGTCGCCCAGGCTGGAGTGCAGTGGAGACATCTCGACTCACCGCAACTTCTGCCTCCCGGGTTCAAGCGATTCTCCTGCCTTAGCCTCAGGAGTAGCTAGGAATCACTTGCATTTTTAATACTGTTTAAATACAGGCATACAGCTTAGTATTAAAGCCAAATAGGCCTGCTAACCAAATCTCAAAAGGTCGTCCATTTAACAATAAATTGAGGGTAATATTGATGTATTCTCACATTGAAATGGAGACCGCTTAGGAATATCAGCATAGAAGGCTTGTTGCCAAAGGACAGTTCTCTACCAAGAAGGGTGGAAATGAGCCAAATGTTGTAAGTTATTTTTCCCAAATTGAACATTTAAATGAAGGGCTGCAAAAAGCTAGAAGGTTCAGTTCCTGAAATCTTTTTTTTTTTTTTTTGAGACGGTGTCTCACTATGTCACCCAGGCTGGAGTGCAGTGGCACCATCTCGGGTCACCGCAACCTCCGCCCTCCGAGTTCAAGCAATTCTCCTGCCTCAGCCTCCCGAGTAGCTGGGATTACAGGCACCCCCCCAACACGCCCATCTAATTTTTTGTATTTTTGGTAGAGATGGGGTTTCACCATCTTGGCCAGGCTGGTCTTGAACTCCTGACCTCATGATCCACCCACCTCCGTCTCCCAAAGTGCTGGGATTACAGGCGTGAGCCACCGCACCCGGCCTGAAAGCATTTTTTTTTTTTCACCAAGCGTTCTGCTCCTAATAGGTCAAAGGTCTCCAATGTTAAGACTTTTTACTTTTTCTTTTCTTCTTTATGCCTGAAGTCACTTCTACTAGAAAATGCCAATAGCCTATTGGAAATCCTCTGGTAAAGTCCTGAGCAATAAAGCCCTTGGAAATAATTCAATATTTACTCATCAAATTTTAAACTCAAGAAGAAAATAAATGGACACAAATTAGAAAAATGAACAAAGGAAACAATGAAGTACTTCACATAAAGAATGTACAAACGGAAAAGAAGATAGCAGCACAAATATTTCTTTGTTAAATGCTAATTATAAAGGGAATCATATTTCACCTATCAAACTGTCAAAGGTAAATATCGGTAATAACTAGTGTTGTTAAGAATTTAGGCAAACATTATTTTAGTCATTGTTGAAATTGATGTAATCTCCTGGAAGTTAATTTTATGATTTCTAGAAACCTTTCTTGAAAATTATCCTTACAAAAAATATTATTATCTTTCAAGCAATTTTATGTTAAAGATTTTTTTTCAATAATTGTCCCCGTCCAAGTGTGTGGGAGGTTAGAGGGTCCTGGTTATCCTCTTTTCCTTGTAATGACCTATTTGTTTCTTCTGTTTTCTATTAGTAAGTCTCAGCTTGGGACTGATCCTGAAATTTGAAGACTACAGTAATTAAACAATATGAACTCTGGACTACATATTTTATGAGATATTAAAATTCGGAGATGGTGCAAATATGTTGTAGTTTCACATTGTGTCTCTTTGTTGGACCTATATTACCACATATTTTTGGTGGTGCTGCTTAAAGTGGTCATTGTTAAACATCCCAAACCTGGCCTACTTCCTGTTTTCTATAGTCCACTAGTTAAGAATGATTTTTACAGATGAATATTTGTAATCAATTTGGTGATGGGGAAACTCTAACTTTCAGCTACACTTTGTTACTCTGTAGAAAAAAAAAATGGATTCTATTATTTTAATTAGTAGACCTTCTTTAATTAAAGACAATGCAATTATTATTGTTAATATTGTTTGAATTTCATAAAAATTATTTGTGGACATACATTTTTCTATCTTGTTA
Organism: Homo sapiens; assembly: GCF_000001405.40. Classification (NCBI taxonomy): domain Eukaryota; kingdom Metazoa; phylum Chordata; class Mammalia; order Primates; family Hominidae; genus Homo; species Homo sapiens. The sequence continues at coordinate 5,149,630 of NC_000011.10, forward strand.
TATTAATGCCTACATGATATTCTTGAATTTGCCTCTTTTTCCATAAAGCCTTAGCTATATATTATTTGGCCATTTATGTAAAAGTTTGCTGAATTCTGGCTAAAATATTAAGAAATAACATCAGAGGCTATTTTATTTTTGAGAAAATTATGTTACTTAAGAAAAACCATCCCTATTGGTAATCCAATAAAATTAGCTCTAGTAGATATTGAAACTTGAAACAGTCTCAAAAGATCCCTTAAGATAGCCTCTATAATCATTCTCAACAGCCATGGATATCTGCTAAGTCCTAATCCGTGAAGCCAGAGGATCCACCAGGTGGGTGTATGACAAGCAATCCAATATTTCTTATATTTGCAGTGGTTTTAATCTGGTAAATCAAAGTATGGACATCTGCCCATATGTGAATATTTTCCATAACCTTGAAAAAAATGATCTATGACCTGAGGTTTTTCAAGAACAATTGACTAGCCGTAAATTCTTATGCCACTAATTTTAGACAATATAGTCCTCCTCTTCACTAACACAATAGCCCTAGACTTATTTATATTTGCTGTGTGGTATGCTGCCACATGCCCAAGCAGACACACACACACACACACACACACACACACACACACGTCTTACTTGTAGAACACAAGCAAACAAATGAATACTCTCCAATGGCACATTATAGCTTTTGGAATAAAGTCCAGCAACTCTGCACAACATTAATAGCCATTTTTGATATTCATATTTTCCTTGTCTCCCCAAGTTCTACCTTGCACTCATACCATATTGAAAAAACTAGAGTTACCTTAAACTACATTATCTAGTTTAAATCTCCTCTACTATCTACCTGGCATGATGTGTTCTTACTTCCTTGGCTACTCATCCATCATTCCTCAAGAATCAGAGGTAACTACCTAACCAAAAAACAAAATACAATAAATGCAACTCCCCTGCTTTGGTTAGATTTCAATGCTTCATTCTCTCTGAACTCCACATCCTATGTGTACACTTGTTATTTCTCTCTTCTTTCCCTTGCCTGCCCATTCCCCACCTCTCTTCCTTTCAGTCTCTCTTTTCCAGAATTACATAGGTACAAACTCATGAGAATTATTCACTGTGCCAGATTTACTATTATGTCACGATTCTGTAGTATAGTATTTTTAATATTGCAGGTTTTTGATAAAATGATGAATTAATAAAGAAGTAAATTTTGAGGTTAGCAAAAAAAAAAACAACAACATTGATGTGTCAAATGCAACACCTGGTTCTAATTTTTGTGCCTGTAATTCCTTGTATGACTCTGAAAATGTATTTAAATTTTTAGGCTTTATTGTCTCTTGATATTCATAAGATTTTCTTTGACAAGAACACAGTTAACATGTACTTCCTTTGATTTTTTTTTTTAAGGCAGGGATGATCAAGAAAATGAGAGTCAACAACTTGTTTTCATTGAGTCCCTGGATGTTTCAGAACAACGAGCCTTAGGTGCATTTAAATTCAGTGACAAAGGCATAATTTATAAATCCTCCTGGAGAAATATTCTTAGAAGAATAACTCAACCAGGGGCTAAAGAATAAAAGAGAAAAAATAATATATATTCACTACTTCACTCATTTCACACTTCTCACTTTCATTAGTCACGTAGAATTCACAATCCCACTGATTGATATGAGCCATGATGATCTAAAACCAGCTATTGTGCTGGCAGATTTCACAAACCCAGCATCTCAAATAATATGTTTTTTGTTTTGTTTTGATATGGTTACTACTGCAAAAGAAAAAAGCATGTAGGCATTAATTAAGGTGGATTTTATGAACAGAACATTTTTACCACATGAATGCGAATCTGTGTGGTCTTTGCACCATAGACAAGTGGATTGAGAAATGGAGGGACCAGCAAGTAAATGCTAGAAAAGAGAATATGGATATAAGGGGAGATGTGAGACCCAAACCTATGTGTGAAGAAGGAGAAGAAGGCAAGGAGGTAGAACTGGAGGAAGACACAGATGTGAGCAATGCAGGTATTGAATGCTTTAAACCTAGCCTCCTTCTGGGGCAAACGAAAAACTGTGATAAATATCTGGATGTAGGACAATGTGATGAATGTGAGGTCAAATCCTGCTACAGTGAAGGCCACAAACAAACCATAGATTTTGTTGACTTGAACATTTGCTGCTGCTAGTTTCACAATGGCCATATGCTCACAGTAGGAGTGGGAGATGACTGTTGTGTGATAAAATTGAAACCGGCACTTTATCAGTACTAGGCATGGGGCTACAAGAATAGCAGCCCTGAGTACGACCATAGTTCCTATCTGAATGACAAGCTGGTGGGTGAAGATGTTGGCATGTCTTAGTGGATAACAGATGGCCACATAACGGTCCAGGGCCATGGCCACAAGGATGCCTGACTCTATACCCTGCAATGTGTGGATGAACCACATTTGAAGCAAGCAGGAATCAAAATAGATTTCAGGCACATTAAACCAGAATATTCCAAGCATCTTTGGCATAATGCTGCTAGCAAGTGCAATGTCTGTGGCTCCTAGCATGCCTAAGAAAATGTACAAGGGCTCATGGAGACTGCGCTCAGATTTGATGATGCTCAGAAGCAAGGAATTTCCAATCATAGCAATGAGATAAATGGCACAGAATGGAATCCCAATCCAGCACTGCACAGATTCTAGGCCTGGGATCCCTACTAGTGTCAACACAGAGGGCATGTAGACTGTGATGTTGGAAATGGACATAGTGTCGTTGGGTCTCCTGATGCAAACAAAAGAAGTTTCTCAGTCAGTGTTACTGTTCCTCTTCTGCTTTCTGATTTTCTCCAAACTCATTATATTGAGTCTGTCTGATTTGGGTATAACTCTAAAATCATCCATCTTATTCACAGTTTTGAAAGGAAAAGATGGATTCATGGAGATACATCACTGTTTTCAGGTGGGGCATTCACAGGCACTGTGCCATAATAGGATGTTATGTGCATGGCAATCCAAATACATTAGAACCAGCAAAATCACCTGGACAGGGGATTGGACTACTGGCCAGTCTGTTATTTCTTTCCAGACCTGTGGACAAAAAAAAAAAGAAGTTTATTTTTATTGGACATTGCATTTTAATTTGGTTAATAAACCTCTCCATATTTCACATTTCAGCTATTCCTCTAGTATTTAACTATTTCCAATTTTCTTTAAGAACATTTTAGACAAGCAAATTAACAGACTCTGACCAGTACATTGGTGTAAAAGATTCCCAATGAAAGAGAATAGAGGTAGAAATAATTGACACCCAAGAACATAATATATTTCTTTTTATATTCAGAATAATGTAAAGAGAATGCTTTAGAAATAATTGAAATCTTTATACTTTTGACAAATCTGAGCCAAAGCTCCTGGTTGCTTTTTATATTTCTTTAAAGTTAAAGGGAATTATATTTTTTCCTATATATTTTAAACAGCTGAAACTCTTGAAATGTTGTGAGTTTAAAATTTTAATACACTTTATGGAATATCTAGAGAGAAGGAACTGCTAAGGGACAAGATGAGCAGCAGCAATGCCTACGGCAAGAGAACTTGCTCCTGATAAACCACAGATACTGAATAATGGGCAAATGAATCATTTAGCCAGAATAGAGTCCAGTTTCCTGGTTTTAAAATGTTCAGAGTTATAATTAGCATAATATAGCCCAATAAAGGCTCATTAGTTCTTAATGAAATATAGGTGAGATGCTTATATAATTTTGTGAGCTCTGACATAAGAAATTAGTAAAAATAAAAAAGCTAAAGGACAGATTTCTTAGAAGAAGTCAAATGTAGAACTAGACAGGGAAGACAGGACAAACTTGGGGAGACTAAAATTGAGGAAAGCACTATGAATAACCAAAGAAAATTTAGTCACTTTTCAATTTCACTGATGATTGAATTTTCTGAAAAACCTGGGCTCTTATGCTTTATATAAAAGTTCTCTGATCAAAATAGTTATTTTCTAAAAATTACATATTTTGAATCAGTACATTTTAAGCTATACATTAGAGAAATGTTTGTGATACAGTGAAAAGTAAAGTTACTTCATTCTTTCCTAGACACTTCAATAAAGTTGTTTTATCTCAGTAAGCTCATGAATCAGCTAACCGTATGCTTCATGTCACCAATATGCTGGAAATTCAGGAAGTAGCTGTTCTTTGAAAGAAAAAGCAGCTTTTTTTTTTTTTTTTTTTTTGAAAGAAAAGGAAGGTAAGTAACAAGGAAGAAAGAGAAAAGAGGAAATGGATACAAGTTTACTCAAATATTCAACAACAAATGTTCAACTGCTGCTAAACTTCAAATGAAAGAACCAAATCAGCAGAGGACATTTCATGACAGGGAGGCTGTATCAGCTAACATACATTTACCGTAAACTAGTAGGTCAATTAAATACTTTGATTTCCACAGATTTGATCCCCAATGCTTAGTTTTATGACACTCCCATCCATAAGTCACTGGCTTTTTCTAATAGGGGCAAATTTTTTCTTCTCCAAAGATAATCACAATTAGAATAAGAATCCTTTAATGGCAATCACAATGTCTGACTTATTCAAGACCAAAGAGCTGACATGTGAGTACTACCTGACAGGCACAGATAGCAGGGTTGCAGGTGGTGGTGTATGTAAGTTCCTGGTTAGTTGGATAGAGTGATTGTTATTGGAGAAGCTGGTAATTAAATTATGGAGAGGAAACTTGGAATCGTGAGACTTACTCCTCAATTATTATTGAGAGCTGGTTTTGCTCTTACCAGATACCTGAAGAATATTGTCCATTTTTCATAACACTTTCATTCATCACTCACCAATTTTTCTTCTCCAAGGATTCCAGCTTCATTCCCTTAAGTTGTGGGTTCTGTGATGGCTCTACTTTCTGTCTGCACTCTGTGTAACAGCATCCAGCTAATGTCATAAATTTTACTCTGTTTGGTGCCAGGATATGTGCCAATATAATATACTGTGGACATTTTGCAGATGACTTTTTACACTTTTCATTTATCTCTAACACGGACATCTTCTTCTTCTTCTGGAAGTCTGTCTCAGACCATCTTTGTGTGCTCATCCCCCAGTAAAACTCATAGTGAGGTCTGTAGCATTCTGAAACACGGGATGAATTTATTGAGCTCAAATTGGAGAAAAAAGTGGCTATCCACCAATTTAATATTCCTTTATGAATGTGTGGAGAAGTAGGAGGAGTTATGAGCATGAAATGAGGGATTTCCTAGTTGATAGCCAAAACCACGAGGGACCCAGCAAATTTTAAGTCAGCCCTCTTGGGTTCACTGGCACCTAATATCCCCGTAATTATTTCTACACTTGCAGAAATCTCCTTTCTCTCTTTTTCTCTTTTCCCACAGGCTAAATGCAGAATAATTCATATGCAAAAAATTTTTTTACAAGCTATGTTCCTTTTCTGCCATTTCTATTTGCAAAATTCTAAAGCCCATTTAATGCAAACATGTTTCTATGCCAATTCCTATTTAAATAAATATCTTGGTGACATTTTCACTGAGGCAAGGTTTTTCTCTTTTTATTCAGAAAAGAAAAATCTGTATTCATAACTACTTTTTACCACACAATTACTTCCTCAGTCTTCTTCAGTCTCATTCTTCCCATTTTATTTTATTGAAGTTTTTTTTATCTTTTAGTAAATTAAGTAACATTCTTATAGTGACAAATTATAATGGACATTTCTAAGTCCTACAAATGTAAAGCTGGAAGCAAGTTGTTGAACATTTGAGTAAACTGGTATCCATTTCCTCTTTTCTCTCTTTCTTCCTTGTTACTTTCCTTCCTTCTTTTTCTTTCAAAAAACAGTCATTATATTCCTACTATTTATGAGTGAGATGTTATATATTCTAAATGAAATGAAAAAAATTATAGTCTTACCTTTAAATTATTAGTAAAATGGGATTATGCATTACAATTTCATTTATCACGTAAGTATCTGATAAATTCTAAGCAAGACTTATGCATATGACACTATTCTCCTTGACATTTTACAGCTGGTTTCTAGGCTTTCTTGAATGTAGCTAAGAGACACTTGATATAATGTTTAGACATTGGCAAATTTAGGAAGCATACTAATGGTGGAGAATATTTATAATGGATTTCCAGGAGAACAAGGAATACAGATGAAAAGGCAAGGAACCCCATGTGCTCTTTCCAGAATTTCCTCTGTGAAGGAGCATAAAACAATAGTACTGTTGCATGTTGAATGAAATTGATTCAGAGAGCATATAGGCAGCTAATCTAATATTCAGGTTATTCTTTTGTCACTAAGAAACAATTTAGACTAGTATACCATTTGGTTTCTTCCTCTTCTCTTATACTGATTTTATTTAAATTTGGGGGCTCTCCAAAGTTCTATCTTGGGTCATTTCATTCTAAAACTATTCACATGTGCTGGTGACTCCATCTACTCCAAATAATTTAGTTGTCACCTTCATGTGCTAACTCCTATAACAATATTTCCAGCCCAGATTTTCTCCCTCTGTTCCAAGTACACAGGAACAGCATGTACTGCCCAAATTTTAGTTTATCCCTCACATCCTTTGAAACATTGTCAATGAGTTCTACACTTAATTCAAGGTTATTTTTTTTTCATTGTACTTGTAAATATTGGAAGACTTTTACATATGCATCAATAACTATCTCTGGATTTTTTTAGCTAGTCTACTAAATTTTTTTTTTCTTTTTTTTGAGACAGAGTCTCTCTCTGTCGCCCAGGCTGGAGTGCAGTGGCCCCTGATCTCTGCTCACTGCAAGCTCCGCCCCCCGCGTTCACGCCATTCTCCCGCCTCAGCCTCCATAGTAGCTGGGACTACAGGCACCCGCCACCAAGCCCGGCTAATTTTTTGTATTTTTTTAGTAGAGACGGGGTTTCACTGTGTTAGCCAGGATGGTCTCGATCTCGCGACCTCGTGATCCACCCGCCTCCGCCTCCCAAAGTGCTGGGATCACAGGCGTGAGCCACTGCACCCGGCCTACTGAATATTTTTTAAATTTATTTTTATTAAGGTAAAATATACATACGTAATTTACCGTCTTTACTTTTTTTTTTTCCTTGAGACGGAGTCTCGCTCCGTCATCCAGGCTGGAGTGCAGTGGTAGGATCTTGGCTCACTGCAACCTCCGCCCCCACCAGGTTCAAGCGATTCTCCTGCCCAAGCCTCCCAAGTAGGTGGGATTACAGGCGCCTGCCACCACGCCTGGCTAATTTTTTGTATTTTTAGTAGAGACAGGGTTTCACCATGTTGGTCAGGCTGGTCTTGGACTCCTGACCTCATGATCCACCTGCCTTGGCCTCCCAAAGTGCTGAGATTACAGGCATTGGCCACCGCACCCAGCCCATCTTTACCATTTTTGAGTGTACGGTTCAGTGGTAATACATACATACATATATATACAAATTTATATGTATACATACATATTCACATTTTTATATATATATACACATACATACATATGCACACATACACACAGAGGGAGAGAGAGAGAGTGGGAGGGTTTTTTTGCTTGATTTCTCATTCCTTTCTTCCCTCCCGCCGCCGGTAACTACCAATCTACTCTCTGTCTTCATAAGATCCACGTTTTTAACTTCCACACGAGTTAGAACATGTGATATTTTTCTTTCTGTGCTTGGCTTATTTCACTTAACGTAATTGCTTTCAGTACCATTTATGTTACTGTAATTGATAATATTTCATTCTTTTTTATGGTTGAATAATATTCCATTGTGTGTGTGTGTGTGTGTGTGTGTGTGTATTATTTTCTTTATCCATTTATCTGTTGACGAATACATCAGTTGATTTCAAATCTTGGCGTTTGTGAATAGTGCTATAATAAAGATGGGAGTACTGATATATCTTCGACATACTAATTTATTCTTTTAAGGGTATATACCTAGGAGTGATATTGCTGGATCATATGGTAGTTCTACTTTACATTTTTGACAAATCTCCATACTGTCCTTCATAATTGCTGTACCAATTTGTACTCCCACCAACAGTGTAAGAGGGTTTCCCTTTGTCCACATCCACACAAGCATCTGTTATTTCCTTTTGTTTTGTTATAAGCTATTTTAACTAAGGTGAGATGATATCACATTGTGGTTTTGATTTATCTGGTGATTAGTGATATTGAACATTTTTTCAAATACCTCTGGGCCATTTGTATGGCTTCTTTTGAGAAATATCTATTCAGGTCTTTTGGCCATTATTTATTTATTTATTTATTTTCTGTTGAGTTGCTTGAGTTTCTTGCATATTCTGGTTATCAATTCCTTGTAAAATATATAGTTTGCAAATATTTTCTCCCATTCTTTGGGTTGTCTCTTCACTTTATTATTTTCTTTGCTGTGCAGAGCTTCAAACAATCCCAATTGTCTATTTTTGTTTTGGTTATTTGTGCTTTTGAAGTCTCATAGACAGTATTTGCCCAAATCAATGAATGCCCTGGAGGGTTTCCCCACTGTTTTCTTCCAGTAGTTTCATAATTTCAGGTATTGGATTCAAGTCTTTAATCCATCTTGATTTGATTTTTGTATATAGTGAGAGATAGGGGTCCGATTTTACTCTTTTGCAAATGGATATCCAGTTTTCCTAGCACTGTTTCTTGAAAAGACTGTTTGTACCTTTTTTTTTTTTTTTTTTGAGATGGAGTCTCACTGTTGCCCAGGCTGGAGTGCAGTGGCAGCACAATCTTGGATCACTGCAACTTCTGCCTCCCAGGTTCAAGCGATTCTCCTGCCTCAGCCTCCTGAGTATCTGGGATTACAGGAGCGCCCCACCATGCCTGGCTAATTTTTGTATTTTTAGTAGAGACGGAGTGTCACCACGTTGGTCAGGCTGGTCTTGAACTCCTGACCTCGTGATCCCCCCACCTCAGCCTCACAAAGTGCTGGGATTACAGGTGTGAGCCACTGCACCTGGCCCATTTGTTCCTATTTTTATGTTCTTGATGCCTTTGTTAAAGATGACTTGGTTGTTAAGTGCCTGGATTTGCATCTGGGTTCTCTATGCTGTTCCATTGGGCTGTATGTCTGTCTTTATGCAGTACTGTGCTGTTTGGCTACTGTAGCTTTGTAGTAGATTTTGAAGTCATATAGTGTGATAGCTTTGGTTTTGTTCTTTTTGCTCAGGATTGCTTTAGCTATTGGGGATCTTTTGTGGTTCCATATAAATATTAGGATTGTTTTTCTATTTCTGTGAATGCCATTGGTATTTTGACAGAAATTGCACTGAATCTGTACATTGCTTTGGGTAGTATTGTCATTTTAATATTAATTCTTCTAGTTCATGAGCATGGAATATCGTTCCATTTTATTTGTGTGCCCTCTTCTATTTCTTTCACCAGAGTTTTATAATTTTTCTTATAGAGATCTTTTACTTCTTGGGTTAGATTGACTCCTGGGTATTTTATATTTTTATTGCTATTGTAAATAAGATTGTTTTATTGATTTTTTTTGCAGATTGATAACTTTTTATATATGAAATGCTACTGATTTTGTATTTTTATTTCATATCCTGTAACTTTATTGATTTTTTTAAATCGTTTTAATAGTATTTAGTGAAGTTTTTAGGTTTTTTCTAAGTATAAGATCATGTCATCTACAAACTAGGCTAATTTAACTTCTTCCTTTCCAATTTGGATGCACTTTCTTTCTCTTCCTGAATTTCTCTTTCCAAGACTTCCAATATTATGTTAAATAATGGCAATGAAAGTGAGCATTCTTGCCTTATTTCAGTCCTTAGAGGAAAGGCCTTCAATGTTTCTCTGTTCAGCATAATGTTAGCACTTGGTTTGTCCTATATGGTTTTTATTATTTTGAGGTATGTTCCTACTGTACCTCCTTTGAGGTGCATTTGTTGTTGTGTCCTGGTCTGGTTTGGGTATATTAGAGTAATGCTTGCCTCATAGAATAAGTTTAGAAGTAGGCCCTTCTTTTCAGTTTTTATTTGTTTGTTTGTTTGAGGAATTTGAGTACGATTAGTATTAGTTCTACTTGAAATGTTTGGTAGCCCATCGAGTCCTGGGCTTTTCTTTAATAGGAAACTTTATATTACAACTTTAATCTTGTTATTCATTATTGTTCTATTGAGGTTTTCTGTTTCTACATGCTTCAGTCTTGCTAGGCTGTATGTGTCCAGGAATTTATCCATTTATTCTAGATTTTCCAATTTGTTGGAATACAGTTGTTCATAATAGTATCTAATGAGTCTTTGTGTTGCTGAGGTCTCAATTGTTATATCCTCTTTTTCATTTTCTAATTTTATTTGACTCTTTTTTCTTAAAGTTTTGTTGATTTTGTTTACCTTTCCAAGAAAGCAACTGTTTGTTTTTAATGATTTTCTGTATTTTTTGGTCTCAATTTCATTTGTTTCTTCTCTGATCTTTCTTATTTCTCCCCTTCTATTAATTTTGCATTTGGTTTGTTCTTGCTTTCCTATTTCCTTGAGGTACATTGTTTGGTTGCTTAGTTGAAGCCTTTCTACTTTTTTGGATATAGGTGTTTATTGCTATGAACTTCCCTCTAAGTACTGCTTTTGCCATATCCTGTAGGTTTTGGTATGTTGTATTTCCATTTTCACTTGTTTCAAGAAGTTTTAAAATTTCCTTCTTAATTTCTTTAGTGACTCATTGGTTATTCAGTTTCATGCGCATCCCTGTGAGGAGACTACCAAACAGGCTTTGTGTGAGCAATAAAGCTTTTTATCACCTGGGTGCAGGCGGGCTGAGTCCGAAAAGAGAGTCAGCAAAGGGAGATAGGAGTGGGGCTGTTTTATAAGATTTGGGTAGGTAAAGGAAAATTACAGTCAAAGGGGGGTTGTTCTCTGGCGGGCAGGAGTGGGGGGTCACAAGGTGCTCAGTAGGGGAGCTTTTGAGCCAGGATGAGCCAGGAGAAGGACTTTCACAAGACAATGTCATCAGTTAAGGCAGGAACAGGCCATTTTCACTTCTTTTGTGGTGGAATGTCATCAGTTAAGGCAGGAACTGGCCATCTGTATGTGTACCTGCAGGTCACAGGGGACATGATGGCTTAGCTTGGGCTCAGAGGCCTGACATTCCTGTCTTCTTATATTAATAAGAAAAATAAAACATAATAGTGTTGAAGTGTTGGGGCAGCGAAAATTTTGGGGGATGGTATGGAGAGATAATGGGCGATATTTCTCAGGGCTGCTTCGAGCGGGATTAGGGGCGGCGTGGGAACCTAGAGTGGGAGAGATTAAGCTGAAGGAAGATTTTGTGGTAAGGGGTGATATTGTGGGGTTGTTAGAAGAAACATTTGTCATGTAGAATTATTGGTGATGGCCTGGATACGGTTTTGTATGGATTGAAAAACCAAATGGAATAAGAGAAGGAGAAAAACAGGTATTAAAGGACTAAGAAGTGGGAGGACCTAGGACATCTGATTAAAGAGTGCCTAAGGAGATTCAACATAGTCCTGCCAGCAAAGATTATTTATTTACTTCAAGAGTTAAGAGTGGCAGTTTGGGGATAGCACCAGGAGATATCAGCTGTGATGGCTTGGAAAAACAGTGTAAACCGGCAGTGTAAACAAGAGCAGGGCATGTATGAGTAGTTGAGAATGGTGAATAGGAGTATGACTAGACAGAAGATAGCAGGGATGACAAGTTTTTTTGGGGCACATTCTAAGTTGGTCTGGTGTCTGGAATTAGACTGGGGCCTAATAAAAAGGCAAATCTATACAGGAGCTCAAATGGGCTGTACCCTGTAGCATTCTGAGGACAGGTCTGACTTCTGAGAAAGAAAAGTGGTAAAAGTATTGTCCAGTCCTTTTTAAGTTGGTGGCTGAGCTTGGTGAGGTGTGTTTTTAAAAGACATTTAGTCCGTTCTACTTTTCCTGAAGACGGAGGACCGTAAGGGATATAAAGGTTTTACTGAATACTAAGAGCCTGAAAAACTGCTTGGCTGATTTGACTAATAAAGGCTGGTCTGTTATCAGACTGTATAGAGGTAGGAAGGCTAAACTGAGGAATTATGTCTGACAGAAGGGAAGAAATGACTGCGGTGGCCTTCTCAGACCCTGTAGGAAAGACCTCTACTTATCCAGTGAAAGTGTCTACCTAGACTAAGAGGTATTTTAGTTATCTGACTCAGGGCATGTTGAGTAAATCTAATTTGCCAGTCCTGGGTGGGGGCAAATCCTCGAGCTTGATGTGTAGGGAAGGGAGGGGGCCTGAATAATCCCTGAGGAGTAGCAGAATAGCAGATGGAACACTGAGAAGTTATTTCTTTGAGGATAGATTTCTACGATGGAAAGGAAATGAGAGGTTCGAAGAGGCAGGCTAGTGGTTTGTACTATAGCATAGCCTGCCTTTGCTGGTGTGTGGCTATTAGGCCTGGTGGAACGGCCATCAATAAATCAAGTGTGATCAGGGTGAGGAACAGGAAAGAAGGAAAGAAGGAAATATGGGGAAATGGGGTGAATGTCAGGTGGATCAGAGAGATACAATCATGGGGGTCAGGTGTGGTATCAGGAATAATGTGGGAGGCCGGATTGAAGTCCGGGCCAGGACCAATGGTAATTGTGGGACTTAACAAAGAGTGAGTACAGCTGAAGGAGCCGGGGATCAGAAAGTATATGCATCAGGTATGAGGAAGAAAATAGATTTTAGAAGTTATGAGAAATGTGAAGAGTGAGCTAAGCATAGTTTGTGATTTTTAGGGCCTCTAAAAGTATTAAAGCAGCGGCAGCCACTGCATGCAGACCTGAGGGCTAGGCTAAAACAGTAAGGTCAAGTTATTTGGACAGAAAGGCTACAGGGTGCAGTCCTGGATCTTGTGTAAGAATTCTGACCGCACTAACTATGCCTAGGAAGGAAAGGAGTTGTTGTTTTGTAGAAGGGATTGAGGTTTGGGAGATTAATCGGACACAATCAGCAGGGAGAGCACGTGTGTTTTTATGAGAATTATGCCGAGATAGGTAACACATGAGGATGAAATTTGGGCTTGACTGAAGTAATGGGGTCTGTCTGTGAAGCCTTGCAGCAGTACAGCCCAGGTAATTTGCTGAGCCTAATGGGTGTCAGTGTCAGTCCAAGTGAAAGCGAAGAGAGGCTGGAATGAAGGGTGCAAAGGAATAGTAAAGAAAGCATGTTTGAGATCCAGAACAGAATAATGGGTTATAGATGGAGGTATTGAGGATAGGAGAGTATATGGGTTTGGCACCATGGGGTGGATAGGCAAAACAATTTGGTTGATAAGATGCAGATTCTGAACTAACCTGTAAGGCTTGTCTGGTTTTAGGACAGGTAAAATGGGGGAATGGTAAGGAGAGTTTATAGGCTTTAAAAGGCCATGCTGTAACAGGCAAGTAATAACAGGCTTTAATCCTTTCAAAGCATGCTGTGGGATGGGATACTGGCATTGAGCGGGGTAAGAGTGATTAGGTTTTAATGGGATGGTAAGGGGCGCATGATCGGTCGCGAAGGAGGAAGTAGAGGTGTCTTATACTTGTGGATTAAGGTGGGGAGATACAAGGGGAGGATGTGAAGGAGGCTTTGAACTGGGGGAAAACATGGCAATGAGGTATGGCTGTAGCCCAGGAATAGTCAGGGAAGCAGATAATTTAGTTAAAGTGTCTCGGCCTAATAAGGGAACTGGCAGGTGGGGATAATGAAAAAGGAGTGCTTAAAAGAGTATCGTCTCGGTTAGCACCAGAGTTGGGGAATTTTAAGAGGTTTAGAAGCCTGGCCATCAATACCTACAACAGTTATGGAGGCAAGGGAAACAGGCCTTTGAAAAGAAGGTAATGTGGAGTGGGTAGCCTCCATACTGATTAAGAAGGGTACAGACTTACCCTCCACTGTGAGAATTACCTAAAGCTCGGTGTCTGTGATGGTCTACAGGGCTTCCGAGGCGATCAGGCAGTGGCAGTCTTCAGCTGCAAAGCCGAGAAGATCTGGGAAGGAGTCAGTCAGGGAGCCTTGGGCCAGAGTTCCAGGGGCTCTAGGAGTGGCTGCCAGGTGAGTTGAACAGTCCGATTTCTAGTGGGGTCCTGCACAGATGGGACACGGCTTAGGAGGAATCCTGGGCTGCGGGCATTCCTTGGCCTGGTGGCCAGATTTCTGGCACTTGTAGCAAGCTCCTGGGGGAGGTGGTTCCGGAGGAACGCCTGGCCACTGCGGTTTAGGCATTTGGAAGTTCTTGTGTGCTGGAGATGTGGCTGGGGTTTGTCTCACAGTGGAGGCAAGGAATTGCAACTCAAAAATATGTTGCTACTTGGCTGCCTCTACTCTATTATTGTACACCTTGAAGGTGAGGTTAATTGAGTCCTGTTGTGGGGTTTGAGGTCCAGAATTTAATTTTTGGAGTTTTATTTAATGTCAGGAGCAGATTGGGTAATAAAATGTATATTGAGAATAAAGTGGCCTTTTGTCCTTTTAGGGTCTAGGGCTGTAAAGCGTCTCAGGGTTGCTGCCGAACGAGCCATGAACTGGGCTGGGTTTTTCATATTTGATGAAAGAGCCTAAACGCTCTGATTCGGGAGAGGTCGGATAAAGAAAAAGGAGCATTAACCTTGACTACGCCTTTAGCTTCAGCCACCTTCTTAATAGGAAATTGCTGGGCAGGTTGGGGAGGGCTAGTCACGGAATGAAACTGTAAACCGGACCGGGTGTGAGGAGGGGAGGTGATAAAAAGATTACAGGGTGGAGGAGCTGAGGCTGAGGAAGATTTGGGACCTAGCTCGGCCTGGCAAGGAGCAGCCTGGGGAGGAGGGGAGACGTCAGATGGGTCTGTAGAAAAGGAAGATTAGAAAGACTCAGCGACGCTTGGAGTTGGGACTGAGGGGACAGGCGGGAGGGAAAGAAGGAAGATTTGGGACAAGTTGCATTGGGAAGAGACTAGGGAGGGACCAATGTGTAAAAGAATGCCTGGACGTCAGGCACCTCAGACTGTTTGCCTGTTTTACGACAAAAATTATTTAGATCTTGAAGAATGGAAAAATTGAAAGTGCCATTTTCTGGCTATTTGGAACCACTGTCGAGTTTGTATTGGAGTCAAGCGGCCTTGCAGAAGAAAATAAGGCATTTAGGTTTTAGGTCAGGTGTGAGTTGAAGAGGTTTTAAGTTCTTGAGAGCACAGGCTAAGGGAGAGGGAGGAATGGAGGGTGGAAGGTTGCCCCTAGTGAAGGAGGCAAGCCCAGAGAAAAGAAAGAGTACAGACACGGAGGGAAGGGGTTCGGGGGTTCTTACTCACCAGAAAAATGGGCAAGGGGTTGGGGCACGGAAATAAGGGGTTGGGGTGCAGAGATAAGAGGTCAGGGCACAGAAATAAGGGGTTGGGGTGCAGAGATAAGAGGTTGGGGCACAGAAATAAGGGATCGGGGTGCAGAGATAAGAGGTTGGGGTGCAGAAATAAGGGATCAGGGTGCAGAGATAAGAGGTCGGGGTGCAGAAATAAGGGATTGGGGTGCAGAGATAAGAGGATGGGGCGTGGAAATAAGGGATGGGGTGCTGAGATAAGAGGTTGGGGCACAGAAATAAGGGATTGGGGTTCTTGCCCCCAGAAAAGCAGTGAAGGGGCAGAGACATGGAGAGAAGGGGTTGGGGTACTTACCCCCCTCCAGAAAAGTGGGATTTGCCGCTAAGGGTGAAGGACCAAGGCAGGCATCCCTGCGTGGTCTGACACCTCTGAAACATGGTTTAATAATCAGAGAGGTGTCCCTGCAATGATTAAACACCAAGGGAAGGCTGCCTTCCCAGTCCGTGACTGGCACCGGAGTTTTGGGTCCACGGATAAAACATGTCTCCTTTGTCTCTACTGGAAAATGAAAGGAATTGAAATTAAGAGAAGGGAGAAATTGAAGTGTGGTGCCAAGATTGAAAGGAGAAAGAAGTTGAGGGATAGTGAGGGAGGTTGGAGAAGACAGTAAAAAGAGGCCACTTACCGGATTTGAAATTGGTGAAATGTTTCTTGGGCTGGTCAGTTTGAGGACCTGAGGTCGTAGGTGGATCTTTCTCACGGAGCAAAGAGCAGGAGGACAGGGGATTGATCTCCCAAGGGAGGTCCCCCAATCTGAGTCACGGCACCAAATTTCATGCGCGTCCATATGAAGAGACTACCAAACAGGCTTTGTGTAAGCAACAAGGCTGTTTATTTCACCTGGGTGCAGGCAGGCTGAGTCCAAAAAGAGAGTCAGCAAAGGGAGATAGGAGTGGGGCTGTTTTATAAGATTTGGGTAGGTAAAGGAAAATTACAGTCAAAGGGGGGTTGTTCTCTGGCGGGCAGGAGTGGGGGTCACAAGGTGCTCAGTAGGGGAGCTTTTGAGCCAGGATGAGCCAGGAGAAGGAATTTCACAAGACAATGTCATCAGTTAAGGCAGGAACAGGCCATTTTCACTTCTTTTGTGGTGGAATGTCATCAGTTAAGGCAGAAACTGGCCATCTGTATGTGTATATGCAGGTCACAGGGGACATGATGGCTTAGCTTGGGCTCAGAGGCCTGACATTCAGGAGCATACTGTTTGATTTCCATATGTTTCTATATTTTCTGATGATCTTCTTGTTATTCATTTCTAGTTTTATTCCACTGTGGTCAGAAAATATACTTGATAAAATTTCTACTTCTGAAAAATTTGTACAAACTTACCTTGTGGCCTAACATATGGCCTTATTTAGGAAAATGTTGTACATGCTGCTTTAAAGAAATGTATCTTCTTCAGCAGTTGGGGGACAAGTTCTGTTAATGTCAGTTGGGTCTATTAGATATAGTGGGTACATTAACTGTGTTGTTCATTTGTTGATTTTTAGTCTGGCCGATCTGTTCATTACTGAGACTGAAGTGTTTAAAGTTCCCTACTATTATTGTATTGCAGTCTGTCTCGCCCTTTAGGACTATTAATGTTTTCCTTATATACTTGGGAACTTTGATGTTGGATACATCAATATTTATAATTGTATCCTCTTGCTGAATTGACCCCTTTATTATTATACAGTGACCCTCCTTATCTTTTCTTACAGTTTTTAAATTTGTAGTCTATTTTATCTGATTTAAGTACAATTACTACTGCTCTTTCTGGTTTCCAGTTCATGGAATTTTTTTCCAACCCTTCACTTTCATTTATGTGTGCCTTTATAGGTGAAGTGGGTTTCTTGAAGATCGCATAAAGTTGGATATTGTTTCTTTATCCATTTACCATTCTATTACTTTTAATTGGGGAACTGAGACTATTTACACTCAGTGTAGTTACTAAGTAAGGATTTCCTTTTTTTTTTTTTTTTTTTTTTTTTGCTTATTTTTGGCTGTATGGAGACTCCTCTCTTCCTTTTTTTTCCTTCATGGTTATGTGATTATCTCTGGTAGCATATTTTAATTTGTTACTTTTTATTTTTAGTAAATCTATTATAGATTTTTGTGCTGTGGTTACCATGGGGCTTACAAGAAACATCTTATAAATATAGCAAGTTATTTTAAAGGATGACGAATTATCTTAGATCGCAAATAAAGGAATATAAACAAGGGCAAAAACAGGCAAAAAAATTCTACACTTTAACTCCACTCCACCCCCACATTTTGACTTTTGTCTCATTTTACATATTTTATATTACCTACATCTTAAAAGGTTGCTATAGCTATTACTGTTTTTGAAAGATTTGTTTTTTGGGTTTCATACTGGAGTTCTGTGTGGATTGCACACCAAAAAATACAGTAATGGGGTATTCTAGGTTTGTCTATGTACTTAATTTTACCAGTGGGTTTCATACTTTGAAAAGTTTTCTTTTGCATGTTAATGTCTTTTTTCTTTCAGATTGCATAACTCCCTTTAGCATTTTTTGCAAGATGGTCTGGTGTTGGTGAATTCTCTCAACTTTTGTTTGTCTGGGAAAGACTTTATATATTGCTTATATTTGAATAACAGTTTTACCCTATAAAATATTCTTGAATATCAGTTTTCTTTTATCCCTGAGCGCTTTGAAAATTTCATTCGACTCTCTCTTGGACTGTGTGATTTCTATTGAGATGTTTGTTGTCACAGGATTTGGAGCTCCTTTATATGCTATTTGTTTCTCATCTCTTCTGCTTTTAGGATCATCTTTTTGTCCTTGACCTGATGTCTTGGCGTAGTACTCTACTATATCTAGGACTACACTTAGAATGAATAATATGTAATAAAACATAGTAAGTGAAGTGAAGTTGCTGGCTTAAAAAGTATTTATTTATTGTAAGCATAAGAAAATTTGACCGATGTAATCTTAGATGATAGTTCTAAAAGTGTTGGTTGAGGAAGTAGAAGAGAATCAGTACCTAAGCAGTTAAACTAATGTGGGAAGGCCCCTTTTATAAAGATCCTCTTGAGAAAACCTTTATACATTATTAATATATGACTATAATTAGAGGAAACAGAGGTGAGTGAATTTTGTCCTCATGAATCTCAAAGGAGAAAATGGTTTACAGAATTGCTTGGTGTTCTTCAGATTCCAATTTTAAAGTCAAATCTGAATTTTAAGTTATGGGACCACTGATAATATGGTGGGCTAAAGAATCAGGTTTTTAGTTGGATTGTCTGGTTTTGAGTTGTGATTCTGCCACTTATTAACTCTTTGACTTGGGGCATGATGACTTGACTTCTCTATGTTTCTGTTTCTACATTTGTAACATGTAGACAAACTGATAATTTCTTCATATATTTGTTCCGTGGATTAAATGAACTAATCTATATAAATCACTTAGTATGGTACACTATAGCTCGTGACAGAGAAATTTGTGACTTTAATTTTTATGTACTTGAGTTTAAAATTAGCATTTAGAGAGACTGTCAGGAATTGTGAAATTTGACTGTGTATTCACGTATTGTAGTCAGATTTGGTGAAAAAGTAATTACTTAATAAAATATAATTACTTATTGAGCAAATTTTACTAGGAACTTTGCTAATTGCTTAATGTGCACCATTTCATTTAATCTTCAAGATCATAAAAGCTGGATTTTATTTTCTTATTCATTTATAAATGAATAAATTATATTCAAACAGGTCATACTACTAGCAAGATCCCACAATTACTAATAGCAAGATAGCTAAGATTTCAACCTAGGTACATCTGGTTCAAGTGTATAACATCACACTGAGGACTTGGCTCTTGGGTGTACAAGTTTTCCATTGTGTGAACTTGATAAAGTTACAAAAATTATCTCTTAGTTTTTTCATGTATACCATAAGAATAGTAATACAGGACTGTAATGGAGGTTACCAATAATTATTGTTAAGGAAGGGCTTCTAAATTACTCTGAAATTTTGAGAATTTTTTTTTAAATCCCATGTTGTTTTTATGACTTCACTACATTGAACACTTTCAAAGGTGTTTCATACATTAAAAATTTTTTAAGTCCATAAATTAATTTCGAGGAAAACAGAAAAAAATATAAATTTTGCCACTCATTACTTGATACATATTTTTATTTGACCAAACCTTCTATTAGTTACTTGGTTGGCTGATAATCACTCAAGACTGTGTGGTTTAATAGGATATTCACTGTGGTTCATGGAAATTCAAAATTATCTGAAGAAAACAAAAAGTTGGGCTCTGCAATCCCTGTCTGAGGGATTTTCTAGAATTCTTCTGGTCCTCCCTACCTTTTTGTTTGTCAGAAGCTTGTCTACTACCGAGTGATTGATGTCACCAAAGACTATTGCAGGAGTAGGCCTTGCTTTTTCTGTTTTTTAGTTATTTTCTTCTAAAACAGTATTTTCAAGTAGTTGTGGTTTTTTTTCTTTCTAGTATTGAACTCATTAAAAATAAAATAGCTTTCTAAAGCCAAACAGTTTCCTCCTGACCAGTTAAAAGTTATCTCTGCTTCATGGTGCATATTCAATTAAGATTTAACATTAGCACACTGAGTATAATTTTTTTAAGAATCTTTTTATTACAGAAATTGTAAACTACACAAAGTAAACAGAATATTATAATTAATTTCCAGGCACCCATGACACAACTTCAACAATTATCAACATTACACCATTCTTGTATTTTCCACACTTGTATTCACTATGAAATCTAATCATCTGTATTATTATTACTATTTTCCTTTTTGTTATTATTATCATTCAGAAGTTTTGATGTAAAATTGATGTACCTAGAAATGTGCAAATCTTAGCTGTACCGTTTTGACAAATTGACAAAACAATGTCACCACATCCCTAACACAACAAAATATTTCCATCTCCCCAGAAATTGCCTCATGTCTCTCCCCATTCTTCCATCTTTATATCCATCAGAGGTAAGCAGGGTTCTGATTTTTTGACATTAAATTAGATGTACATGTTCTGAAACTATACAAACAAAATAATACAATATGTACTCTTTTGTGTCCTGATTATTTTCCTTCACAAGTATGTATCACTAATTTTAATATAACCAGAAACTTAAACCTCCCCAAGACTCTTTCTACATATTCCCAGAACCAAATGTCACTGAATTGAGTATTCAAGGATTCAGCACACAAAGTGTGTCATCACCAGGACAAAGCCTGTGTTCTATGCCTCCTCCCACAATTTTATTTCAGAGTAATGCCATTTCCTATTCTCAGGGAAATATATAAAACTGTTTTTTTTCTTCATCTACAAAATGTTAAAGCTCATTAACAAGCAATAATAAGCCATGGAATTTTTCATATTTGCAAAGCTAATATTCAGGTAATAAAGCCTGATCTAAGTGCCTGTGCTGTCAGGGTATCTTCAGTCTCCATTAGAACTCACCCCTCTTCCTGGATAGTGTAAGAACAACGCTGTTGCGAATTTCTTTGATTTTGATACTATAGACAATGGGGTTGACCACAGGAGGAAAAAAGAGGTAAGCATTGGCCGTGACAGTCTGGAAAAGTGGAGGTAAATGCCGTCCAAAGCGGTGCATCAGGGAGAGGCTGATCATGGGCACATAGTACACAAGCACAGCACATATGTGCGACACACATGTGTTGAGTGCCTGCCACCGCCCTGCTCCAGAAGCTATTTCCAGTACTGTATGAAGAATCAGCACATAAGAAACCACAATGAACAATAAGTCCAGTCCAAATGTGAAGGTAATGACAAATAGAGCCAGGATGCTATTGGGACGTGTGTCTCCACAGGGCAATTTGATCAGATCTGAGTGGAGGCAATAAGAGTGTGTGAGGGTATTGTGGCCACAGAAAGGCAGACGCCTCAGGAGAAAGAGCAGTGGGAGCATAAGCATTACACTGCGCAAGGCAATGGCGGCACCCGTCCCAGAAATGCAGGCAATTGTCAGAATGGTTGTGTAGCGCAGTGGGCTGTAGATGGCCACAAAGCGGTCCACTGACATTGCCAGAAGGACACCTGACTCCATAAGAGTGAAAGAGTGCATAGAAAACATCTGGAGCAGGCAACCACCAAAACTGACATCGTTAATGCCAAAGAGGAATATGCTTAACACAGTGGGCATGGTGGAAGCAGAGACACCAAGTTCAACAAAGGCCGGCATGGCCAGAAAATAGTACATGGGTTGGTGCAAGGAAGAGTCAATTCGGATGATGTGAAGAATGATGCCATTTCCCGGAAAGATGATGGTGTATATCAGGCAGAAGGGGATGGATATCCACATAATGTTCTGCCTCCAGTCCCGGGATGCCAACGAGAGTGAATGTTGTAGGTGTGAATGTTATGGAACGTTTGAAAACGTCATGGTGATACTTCCTCTGAAGATATTGAGAAGCACATGGAGACTGGAATATATAAGTTTCTACTCAGTTATTGCACATCAAGTTCTGAGCTAACAGTCATATCTAAGACATTTCCTCAGAAAAAGGGATAAAAAATTTATTTCTGAAACAAGGGCACAGGTAAGCCACAGTGAGTGGAAGAGAAACCTAATGGGTCATGCAGAAAAGTATTCCAACATAGCCTATATGCCAGATAAGGCATTAATAGAAATCTCAAGTTGGGTCATCTATGGCAGTGAAAAACAGTTAAAATAAGCATAGAGATGACAGATTCACATGGAAATTATGACTGAAGAAACTGCTAACTTGTAGTGTTTATAAAGAGAGTAGATGAATAGCTAAAGTAATATAACACTAATAAAGAGTATTGATGGTTCTAACATTTAATTGACGTGTAATCTTGGGATTATATTAAAGTTGATTTATATTGCAAGTTATCTGAGACCCAGATATTTGCTATAAAGACAATAATAGTATTTTAAAGTAATATTTATATATTGTTTATCATTATATGTGGAATATAGTAAATATTAAATGTATAGAATAAAAAGAACAATTTAATATATTAGAACACAAGGATAGTTTCTCCTAGAATAAAGTATTTTCCATTTTTTTCTTTAACTTACCAGTTCACTCTTTCTCCACCTGCTATCCATAGATTAGAAAAGCTCCTCTGTATTTTGCAGAAGGGTCAGTCTTCTGCTGGAACCGGGTCAGGGAGCAAGATCAGAAGCATCAGTATCTCACAAGTCACATGTGATGGTGGGGCTAGGGTACAGGCTTAGAGATATTTATCTGGGAACAAGTTTATTAACACTAAAGTTCCACTTATCTGCAGCAGAGCCTTAGGTATTAACGTTGGAGGCCAGAAATGGAATTCAGGATGGGGCTCAGAAATAAGAATGTGACCAAGGCTGAACTCTTCTTCCCGTGTTGGGCCAGGGCTCTTCGTTAGGCATAATCAGTGGGATAGTAATAAATATTTCCAAATAAAAATGCCCTGATTTTTACCAGTTACCGATTTTTTGTGTTTTAATGACTCCTACCATGATCAATTTCAGACTACCAAAGAGATGCTATTAAATGCAGAGCTGAGATGAGCATAATCAGCTTTCCTAAGCTGGTGCAAGCCAGCACATTATACCATTAGGCATAACTATAGTTGATCCTAGACCTCAGATACTTACCTAGGTGGAACTGAGAGCTACCACATCAATCCATGCATACTATTTGTTACTGTTTACTTTCAACTGGGCTGTGGACATAGTTACTACCTCCCTGTATATGTGCTTAGTTGACTGGAGGACATAGAGACAGAATGATTCAGTATCCCTCAAGAAGCAATTAACCAAGAATAATTATTCCCAGAAACTTCGGGTGTATTAGAGAGAAAGGGGGGAATAGTTCCTGAGAAGCATGCTGGAGAGAGTATACATAAGAACATGCCAATGTCAATGCAAAACCCAAATAAACATAAAATAGTTACACAATATCATTAATTATAATTTAAATATAAGACATTGGTTTATATTTCTTATATACTTCCCCCGCATCTTATCTTCATTAATTTTTTCATACACAATCATTTACAAAACTTTTATGTAGTCAGGTTAACATACATTTTATTAATATTATATACTTTTCATTCTTAAGAAGCTATTCCATATACAAAGTAAAAAGTGGAGAGATGCAGAGTTGGATCTAGAGCTAGAGACGGAACTGCAGATAGGGATAGTGGTGTAGATAGTAATAAAGGGGGATAGAGACAGTAATCATGATAAAGACAGGTAATAATAGTGTTAGAGATTCTTGATTCCACCTGAAATTTGTTTGGGGGACTTGGGTAATTAGAATTTTACTTAAGTATTCTCAAACATATAAACAATTTTTCTAATACCAAGTATAAGATCAAGGGTTGGTCTCCAAGCATGATGAGGGATTACATACATTTTATTTTATATTTTTATATAAATATGGATCTAATTCTAGACTGTTTTCTGTTGTTTGATCTGTGTCCTTTTTGCCACATGCACATACTGCCGTTCTTATTCTGTTTTTATATACAACTTCATATTCAATTGGTCAAGCTATATTTTTGTTGTCATGCTAACTTTGTATTCTTTCAAATAAGGATTAAAAGCCAGCATGCATAAAAATTGTGTAATGACCTAAATTGAACTAAAGCCATAACACCCTCGGAAGGAAGCATGGGTAAATCTTCATGAACTTTGATTTTACAATAGATTCTTAGATATGACACAAAAAGTATGAGTAACAAAAAATAAATACATAAATTGGATTTCATTTAAAAAGTTCATGCAACAAACGACTTTAAGAAAGTAAAAAGACAACCTATAAGATGAGAGAACATCTTTGCAAATTATGTATTTCATAAGTTTAATATCCAGAATGTATGAAAAAGTCCTACAACTCAAAAACAAAAAGACAAACAACTCAATTTAAAAATATGCAAATGATGGGAATGAGTAATTTCTAGAAAGAAGATATACAAATGAACATTGGCACATAAAATGCAAACCAAAACCACAATAAGACACTACTTCAAACTTACTAGAATGTCTATACTTTAAGAGAAACAAAACAAATGAAAAGTAACAAGTGTTGACAAAGATATAAGAAAATTGGAATCCTCATATATTGCTGCTAAAAATGTTAAGTGGTGCAACTTCTGTAGAAAATATTTTGACAGTTCTTCAAAAACTTAGGCACTGAATAACATATGACCCCAAAATTCCTCTCCTAGGTATATATTAAAAATATATATAAAGATTTAAACAGGTACTTGTACTGAAATGTTCATTGTAGCATTATTCACAATAGCCAAAAGGTGGAAACAACCAGAATGTACATAAACAGATGAATGAATAAACAAATGTGATATATACACACAATGGAATATTATGTAGCAATAAAAAAGAATGAAGTACAGATGCAGTAAGTCCTTATTTAATGTCATGAATAGGTTTTTGGAAATGGCAACTTTAAGTGAAATGATGTAAAACAGATCCTCAAATAACACTGTTTTAGCCAACACTGTTAGATGAGAAAAAAAATGGATATCATTATATGTCACTTGGCTTAAAGTTTCAGTTTCCAAGAATCTATGAATGGACAACATTAAGCAAAGACTTACCACTATACATGTTATGGCATGGATGGACTTTGAAACCTTATGTTGGGTAAAATAAGCCAGACACAAAACAACAAATATTGTATGAATCTATTTATATGAATTATCTAAAATAGACTGATTTAGAGAAACATATAGTAGATTAGAGGTTACTATGGGACTGGGGAGTTACTGCCTAACAAGTATAGCATTTCTGCTTGGATGATGAAAAAGTTTTGGCATGAGATCATGGTGATAGCGGCACAATATTGTTAATATAATTAATGCCACATAATTATACTTAAAAATGGTTAATATGGTGAGCTTTATTATATATGATATACGGTATTATATGTAGCATATTTATAAACTTTATCACAATAAAAATGGAAAGAAATTTAAAACAAGACAAATTTTTATTTTGATTAGGGTTGAATTGAATTTATTATGAGTTGTTTCTGAGAGAATTGTTACAATAAACAATGTATAATAAACAATTATTTCATTTATTTTAGGCACATATACAGTTCTATTATCATTTTGGGTTTTATTTTTTGTTTTTCTTTTTGTTTTTGTTTTACGTATTTTTGGTTTTTTTGAGATGGAGTCTCTCTCTGTGGTCCAGGCTAGAGTGAGGTGACGCGATCTCGGCTCACTGCAACCTCCGCCTCCAGAATTCAAATCATTCTCCTGCCTCAGCCTCCCATGTAGCTGGGATTACAGGTGTGCGCCACCACGTCTGGCCTCTATCATCATTTTGAATGTGACATTTTTCCCATTCTATTTTCCTATTGGTTCTTGCAGTTGCATAAAACATTATTGATTTTTATGTTGTCCTTATATAACTCTTTTTACTTTCAGGTGACTTATACTTAAATGATCATATCATATACAAAAGAAAGTTAAAAAATAAAGGCAAAGATGTAAATAAAGAAATACACCCCAGATTACAATTTGGTCTTTTTTCTCCCCCCGAAATCAAAATTTTGCTTGATTGATATTAACTAAGACCTCAGTTATAAAACAATAGTCTGTAGTGGTACTGGTCTTGGATCTCTTGCTCATTTGAAATACTATTCTCACCTTATCAATCACTTAGCACCCTGTACCTTTTGTTTTTTGTTTTTGCTAATTCTGTCTAGAACACCATATCAGTTTTAGCTAAGTGCTTCCAAAACTCCCTGCTTTAAAATTGTTTGGTTTCTGCCCTTTTTTGGACCTTTCCTTTCCTTTCCTTTCCTTTCCTTTCCTTTCCTTTCCTTTTTCCTTTCCTTTCCTTCCCTTCCCTTTCCTTTCCCTTCCCTCCCTTTCCCTTTCCCTTTCCCTTTCCCTTTCCCTTTCCCTTCCTGCTGAAGGATTACTGGTTAAGGAGACAGTAGAACATGAAAACTTCTTCTCATGTCCAGGGCAATGGCTCAGTAATGTTAAATTCAGCAGCTGCATAGCAACAGCCATTTCCTAAATCCTTTCAGAATCTGAGTGCTCAACTGAAAGTTTATTTAGAGATTGTAAATTCAATCATTTTTACTTCTACCATTTTAACTGTCAAAATGACATGTATATGTTACTGTGTAGCTATATATGTATATATGATTATATATATTCATATACCTATTTAAGATATCATGTTGCATGCATTTTGGATGTGAAATTGGCATTTTCTTAGCTCCCCACTGCTAAAATCAAGTATACAAAATCTTCCTACCTTTCAGTCAAATCCTCTGTCATCATACTGCAATCTATCTATTCCCTCATTTTCCATCATATTATTACTTTTATGGAGAAATGCAACGCTGAGTGTAAATTTCACATTAGAATGTCCAAAACATTGTGTAGAGTAGAAAAAAAAACTATATGAAGTTTAACAGATGTACTGAGAAATGCAAATATTTTGAAGACAATTCAAAATAGCACTTAAATATTTAGTGTAGTACTAGCAGAAACAAATTAATTAGATTTTTTAGAATGTTTTATGTATTCTCCCTTCCCAATAATGGAAATACTGTAGGAAGTCTATTTCTAACTTTCTTATTCTTTGGTGCACAAACGTGTGTGTGTGTGTGTGTGCATGCATATATATATGTGTGTGTGTGTGTGTGTGTACATATATATGAAGGTACATCCACATATAAATGTAGATAAATTAAGTGTGTGTATATGTAAATCTAAGTGTTAATACATGTATAAATTTCTATAAAAATCACAGAAAAAGCTAAGCATAAGCCAAGCATGAGTAGATTTCAAGTGTTTAAGATAGTACCTCAGATTTCTCAAAGTTTTTTTTTTGTCTTTCTTTAGGTGTAAATAAGGTCATTTTTTAAACATTCTCATGGCATTGTTCTAGGCTTTTAAGAAGGAGAGATTGTAAAAATTTGTATTGATGTGAAGGGATTAAGGTATAGTCTGTAGATAATATCATAGATAATTACTTTTGCTGGGATTACATTCTTTTTTATTTAAGTTTCTTGGAAAATATTCTCCTTAATCTTCTCTAGCTTTTTAAAAAATGTTTATTTTAAAAATTTATTTATCACCCAGGTATAGAAATTTTCAATCATTTTACTTCTTCAGTGATGTTTCTGTTGATGCCATGATGCTCCATTGATGACTTGGGTCTAAAATCTCCACTATAGGGGGAAATGTGTATCAGATTTTACATCATCCAGGCAATCTCATATTTGTTAATTTAATATTGGTTATTATTTGCTTTAATTCACTATTATTCACTTGTTGAATACATATGTATTATGTGTCTATTCCATACAAGAGACTTTGTGAGATGTCAGTGAGTTAGAAAATATTCTAGGGATAACATTTTAACTTAAGTAACAGGTGTTGACAAAAATAATATTATGGCTTCATGTTATTGGTTCAAGTCTCTGCAGAGTACAGCGGGAGTGTTGTACATTTCAGCAGAATTTCAGACTGACTATAAAAAGCCCAGTGACTGACTCAAAACCCCACTTCCTAGCTCTACGTAGGAAAAGTCAATCTGGATTAAACCCTAAAATATATTTCTCTTTTCTCGATTATCTTTATATATTTTTAAGTTAAAATTCATGAAAATAGTATTTCTGAAAAAATGGAGAATTTCATTAAAGTATTTTTTTTTTCAAAACCTTTGATCTTTGAGTGCCTTAGCAAAATTCCGTGGACACTTTGATAGACACCATCATTTTAAGTGTGTTTGAGGATTTCTATGGATTGTATTTATTCTATTCCCTAAAACAGACTTTTTAATCTTAACAGCATACACTGATAGGAGAGAAAAGCAAAATCACTCGATCTTTAATTTGTTTGGTCTTCACCCCATAAATGATGGGGTTTAGCATAGGGGGCACTAACACATAGAGACTGCCCACTAGGATGTGAATGTGGTGAGGGATGGTTTTACCTCCAAAGCGATGGGCAAGAAATGAAAAGAATGCTGGGGTATAGAACATAAATATGACACAGATATGAGAGCCGCACGTACTAAGGGCCTTGAACCTGGCAGCCCAGGAAGATATCTGAAACACTGAGTGAAGGATCATTGTGTAGGATATAATGATAAGCACTATATCCAGTCCTGTAGAGAGTAGGGCCACAGTGAGGCCATAAATGATATTGACATTGATATTGCCACAAGCCAATCTGGCAATGTGCTCACAGTAGGAATGAGGAATGATGTTTCTCCCACAATATGTAAGTCGGTATACCAGGAAGATGAACGGACAGCAGATGAAAAAGCTCCTGACCACAGCTGCTATGCCAATCTTCCTGACGGCTGATGAGGTTAAAATGGTGTATCTCAGTGGGTAACAGATGGCCACATAGCGGTCAAATGCCATTGCCAGGAGAATAGCAGATTCTGCCACAAAGATGAAATGTATGAAGAACATCTGAGACACACAACTACCAAAGGATATGTCCATGGAGTGGAACCAGAGGATAGCCAGCACCTTAGGGGCTGCAGCAGTGGCGAGCAGGAAGTCGGCTGAGGCCAGCATGGATAGGAAGAGATACATGGGCTCATGGAGACTGCGCTCAGTCATGATCAGGAAGATCAAGAAGATATTGCCTGCAACAGCCACAATGTACATAAAAGAAAAAGGGATGGAGATCCAGGTATGCAAGCCTTCCAGCCCTGGGATTCCCATCAGGACATACCACACATCCTGGGAATTAGTGTGATTGCGAAAGAAAGGAGCCGTATGTACAGTTTATTCCAGGCCTAGTGCCATTAGTGAAAGACTACAAAGTTGAGGATTTAGAAACACTACCTTAGGCTGAATGAGGTCTCATCAGATTTGTTTTCTTTCCAATGTTTTCTTCTCTGGGAAAGGAGAGTAAAATGGGTTAATAGACCGAATATATAAGTCCTACCAAATAATTAATTTTTTGTACCTTAAAAAATTAGTAGATATTATTTAATAACTGCTTAATATGTGTCATACTACTTTACAAATATTAACTTATTAAATCTTCACAATAACCTATTGAAAAGCCCTTTAAATAACCATTATATAAATACTATTATTTCTACAGATGTAAAAAAAACCCACAGACTTTCAGCCTCTTACCCTAGGCCCTACTGGATTTAAAGTAAGGCAGGATAAATCTGAAAGCTTTGATCTTTACTACCATCCAATGCTGCCTATCAAGGTAAAACTAGATATAAAACGCAGCATCAAATTTTTTACTGATCATATCCCTAAGGAAAATAGAGAGTTATGAAATTTAGTTGTGCTGCTTACAGAAATGGGAGGGAATTAAGTCTGACAAAATAGATTTCAAGCAATATAGCATGTATGCCTTCTTCCACATTGATTGGCCTTAACTTATTGTTAAGCCATATGCTAGCCATTGAAGACATACAGCAAATTAAATTGTTCTGCCAATTAATCTATTTCTCAAAAATATAGGATAAAACATTATAAACTTTAGATATTTGCAATGGCAGACGGAGCTGGGTTTTTAAATCTATATGCCAGCCTGGCACGGTGGCTCACACCTGTAATCCCAGCACTTTGAGAGGCTGAGGCGGGTAGATCACAAGGTCAGGAGTTCCAGACCAGCTTGACCAAAACAATGAAACCCCGTCTCTACTAAAAATACAAAAATTAGCTGGGCATAGTGGTGTGCACCTTTAATCCCAGCTACTCAAGAGGCTGAGGCAGGAGAATCGCTTGAACCTGGGAGGCAGAAGTTTCAGTGAGCAGAGATCGCGCAACTGCACTCCAGCCTAGGTGACAGAGCGAGACTCCCTCTCAAAAAAAAAAGTATATGCCTCATAGGTGGTAAAGAATAAAATATTTTGTTTCTTTCCACTTCAGTCACTGATTGAAAATGAGACAATACACATTGTATATATATATATATGTTTATTATACTTTAAGTTCTAGGGTACATGTGCACAACATGCAGGTTTGTTACATATGTATACATGTGCCATGTTGGTGTGCTGCACCCATTAACTCGTCATTTACATTAGGTATATCTCCTAATGCTATCCCTCCCCCCGGCCCCCACCCCACAACAGGCCCCGGTGTGTGATGTTCCCCTCACTGTGTCCAAATGTTCTCATTGTTCAACTCCCACCTATGAGTGAGAATATGTGGTGTTTGGTTTTTCGTCCTTGCGATACTTTGCTCAGAATGATGGTTTCCAGTTTCATCCATGTCCCTACAAAGGACATGAACTCATCATTTTTTATGGCTGCATAGTATTCCATGATGTATATGTGCCACATTTTCTTAATCCAGTCTATCATTGTTGGACATTTGGGTTGGTTCCAAGTCTTTGCTATTGTGAATAGTGCCACAATAAACATACGTGTGCATGTGTCTTTATAGCAGCATGATTTACATTCCTTTGGGTATATACCCAGTAATAGGATGGCTGGGTCAAATGGTATTTCTAGTTCTAGATCCCTGAGGAATTGCCACACTGACTTCCACAATGGTTGAACTAGTTTATAGTCCCACCAACAGTGTAAAAGTGTTCCTATTTCTCCACATCCTCTCCAGCACCTGTGGTTTCCTGACTTTTTAATGATCACCATTCTAACTGGTGTGAGATGATATCTCATTGTGGTTTTGATTTGCATTTCTCTGATGGCCAGTGATGATGAGCATTTTTTCATGTGTTTTTTGGCTGCATAAATGTCTTCTTTTGAGAAGTGTCTGTTCATATCCTTCACCCCCTTGTTGATGCAGTTGTTTGTTTTTTTCTTGTAAATTTGTTTGAGTTCATTGTAGATTCTGGATATTAGCCCTTTGTCAGATGAGTAGATTGCAAAAATTTTCTCCCATTGTGTAGGTTGCCTGTTCACTCTGATGGTAGTTTCTTTTGCTGTGCAGAAGCTCTTTAGTTTAATTAGATCCCATTTGTCCATTTTGTCTTTTGTTGCCATTGCTTTTGGTGTTTTAGACATGAAGTCCTTGCCCATGCCTATGTCCTGAATGGTATTGCTTAGGTTTTCTTCTAAGGTTTTTATGGTTTTAGGTCTAACATGTAAGTCTTTAATCCATCTTGAAATAATTTTTGTATAAGGTGTAAGGAAGGGATCCAGTTTCAGCTTTCTACATATGGCTAGCCAGTTTTCCCAGCATCATTTATTAAATAGGGAATCCTTTCCCCATTGCTTGTTTTTGTCAGGTTTGTCAAAGATCAGATAGTTGTGGATGTGTGGTATTATTTCTGAGAGCTCTGTTCTGCTCCATTGGTCTACATCTCTGTTTTGGTACCAGTACCATGTTGTTTTGGTTACTGTACCTTGTAGTATAGTTTGAAGTCAGGTAGCATGATGCCTCTAGCTTTGTTCTTTTGGCTTAGGATTGACTTGTCAATGCGGGCTCTTTTTTGGTTCCATATGAACTTTAAAGTAGTTTTTTCCAATTCTGTGAAGAAAGTCATTGGTAGCTTGATGGGGATGGCATTGAATCTATAAATTACCTTGGGCAGTAAGGCCATTTTCACGATATTGATTCTTCCTATCCATGAGCATGGAATGTTCTTCCATTTGTTTGTATCCTCTTTTATTTCGTTGAGCAGTGTTTTGTTGTTCTCCTTGAAGAGGTCCTTCACATCCCTTGTAAGTTGGATTCCTAGGTATTTTATTCTCTTTGAGGCAATTGTGAATGGGAGTTCACTCATGATTTGGCTCTCTGTTTGTCTGTTATTGGTGTATAGGAATGCTTGTGATTTTTGCACATTGATTTTGTATGCTGAGACTTTTCTGAAGTTGCTTATCAGCTTAAGGAGATTTTGGGCTGAGACGATGGGGTTTTCTAGATATACAATCACGTCATCTGCAAACAGGGACAATTTCACTTCCTCTTTTCCTAATTGAATGCCCTTTATTTCTTTCTCTTGCCTGATTGCCCTGGCCAGAACTTCCAACACTATGTTGAATAGGAGTGGTGAGAGAGGGCATCCCTGTCTTGTGCCAGTTTTCAAAGGGAATGCTTCCAGTTTTTGTCCATTCAGTATGATATTGGCTGTGGGTTTGTCATAGATAGCTCTTATTATTTTGAGATATGTCCCATCGATACCTAATTTATTGAGAGTTTTTAGTATGAAGCATTGTTGAATTTTGTCAAAGGCCTTTTCTGCATCTATTGAGATAATCATGTGGTTTGTGTCTTTGGTTCTGTTTATATGCTGGATTATGTTTATTGATTTGCATATGTTGAACCAGCCCTGCATCCCAGGGATGAAGCCCACTTGATCATGGTGGATAAGCTTTTTGATGTGCTCCTGGATTTGGTTTGCCAGTATTTTACTGAGGATTTTTGCATCGATGTTCATCAGGGATATTGGTGTAAAATTCTCTTTTTTTGTTGTGTGTCTGCTAGGCTTTGGTATCAAGATGATGCTGGCCTCATAAAATGAGTTAGGGAGGATTCCCTCTTTTTCTATTGATTGGAATAGTTTCAGAAGGAATGGTACCAGCTCCTCCTTGTACCTCTGGTAGAATTCGGCTGTGAATCCATCTGGTCCTGGACTTTTTTTGGTTGGTAAGCTTCATAAGTGAAGGAGAAATAAAATACTTTACAGACAAGCAATTGCTGATTTTGTCACCACCAGGCCTGCCCTAAAAGAGCTCCTGAAGGAAGCAGTAAACATGGAAAGAAACAACCAGTACCAGCCACTGCAAAAACATGCCAAATTGTAAAGACCATCAAGGCTAGGGAGAAACTGCATCAACTAGCAAGCAAAATAACCAGCTAACATCATAATGACAGGATCAAATTCTCACATAACAATATTAACCTTAAATGTAAATGAGCTAAATGCTCCAATTAAAAGACACAGACTGGCAAATTGGATAAAGAGTCAAGACCTATCAGTGTGCTGTATTCAGGAAACCAATCTCATGTGGAGAGACACACATAGGCTCAAAATAAAGGGATGGAGGAAGATCTACCAAGCAAATGGAAAACAAAAAAAAGGCAGGGTTTGCAATCTTAGTCTCTGATAAAACAGACTTTAAACCAACAAAGATCAAAAGAGACAAAGAAGGCCATTACATACTGGTAAAGGGATCAATTCAACAAGAAGAGCTAACTATCCTAAATATATATGCACCCAATACAGCAGCACCCAGATTCATAAAGCAAGTCCTTAGAGACCTACAAAGAGACTTAGACTCCCACACAATAATAATGGGAGACTTTAACACCCCACTGTCAACATTAGACAGATCAACGAGACAGAAAGTTAACAAGGATATCCAGGAATTGAATTCAGCTCTGCACCAAGCAGACCTAATAGACATCTACAGAACTCTCCATCCCAAATCAATAGAATATACATTCTTCTCAGCACCACACCACACCTATTCCAGTTGACCACATAGTTGGAAGTGAAGCACTCCTCAGCAAACGTAAAAGAACAGAAACAATAACAAACTGTCTCTCAGACCACAGTGCAATCAAACTAGAACTCAGGATTAAGAAACTCACTCAAAACCACTCAACTACATGGAAACTGAACAGCCTGCTCCTGAATGACTACTGGGTACATAACAAAATGAAGGCAGAAATAAAGATGTTCTTTGAAACCAACGAGAATAAAGATACAACAAAACAGAATCTCTGGGACACATTTAAAGCAGTGTGTAGAGGGAAATTTATAGCACTAAATGCCCACAAAAGAAAGCAGGAAAGATCTAAAATTGACACCCTAACATCACAATTAAAAGAACTAGAGAAGCAAGAGCAAACACTTTCAAAAGCTAGCGGAAGGCAAGAAATAAGTAAGATCAGAGCAGAAGTGAAGGAGATTGAGACACAAAAAACCCTTAAAAAAATCAATGAATCCAGGAGCTGGTTTTTTGAAAAGATCAACAAAATTGATAGACTGCTAGCAAGACTAATAAAGAAGAAAAGAGAGAAGACTCAAATAGATGCAATAAGAAATGATAAAGGGGATATCACCACCAATCCCACAGACATACAAACTACCATCAGAGAATACTATAAACACCTCTACGCAAATAAACTAGAAAATCTAGTAGAAATGGATAAATTCCTCGACACATACACCCTCCCAAGACTAAACCAGGGAGAAATTGAATCTCTTAATAGACAAATAATAGGCTCTGAAATTGAGACAATAATTAATAGTTTACACATTGTATATCTAAGTACCACCACAGCAGCAAGTAATTTAATGTTTTCACATTATAAAACAGGAGTCTATATTACTTCAATATATTACTTGTTATTACTAATTACTAGTTCTAAAAAATGTGGATAGAAGCAAGTTTAATATTGAGTGGAAAATAAGATTAGGAGATGCAACACCAGGGTAGGTGACATATACAGAGATAGATTAGATAGGTAGATAGCTAGCTAGCTAGCTAGCTAGCTAGCTAGAAAGATAGATAGATAGATAGATAGATAGATAGATAGATAGATAGATAGATAGATGCATGGGTATAAACATAGATAATAATATGTGAATGACAGGTGGCTTCTATACTCTCTAAGTTCCCTTTCTCAAGTAAAAGCTGGCTAAAGTTCTTGTTTTTTGAGGTGGCACAGGGGCTTAAGAAATGACTGCTCCCCCATCTCTTGATTCCATTACAGTTCAATATACTGATCATTGTATAGCATAGTCTGCTACCTTTACTTTTGTTTTTGCTAAGTGCTAAATATTCTGGTCTCAAATTTTATATGATGGAAATGTTTGGGTCCCATTTTTTGAGTTACAGTTTAGAATTTAAAATACCCACACAGCTGAGCAATTTACCCTTGCTTTAAGTTGGAATGAGGTTCTTTAAAAATATTAAGATAAAATTTGAAGTTATTTAACTCTGTGGATCTACTTTATTTACATAAACTAATTGTTTTACTATTTAATATATATCTCACATTGTTAGAATATTTTAAGTAAACTGTTGATGTTTCAGAGAAAGGAAAGAATAATTTTGAAGCATTCCTGACACAGTTCTAGGCCAGAGCCATGCATGTGAGTGAAGCGTAGTTATAGAAGTGAGGGTTACAGTGACTGGGGCTTCATCAGGACATTAGGGATGGGAGAGAAGAATCTAAGTGAAAAAAAAATACAGGAATGAAGATAAGGGGGAAAGAAAACAGATTTTCTGGCCTTTAAATTTTTTCTGGTGATCTTTTGTGATACCTATGGTTTTTAAATATTTGTTTGTTTTTTTGTTTTTCCTAAAACATTGTCATATGTGATGACCCAAATTATAGGCCTGGGTTCCTTGTAGCATTATTCTAGGATATTTCTGACAGCATATTCTGACTGAATCATGAATGTATCCACGGAGCAAAGATAGTGTGGTGTAATAGAAACAGTATAGCTCTAAGGACATATATAGTTGTATTTAAATACTGGCTAAATCTTATTCTGACTCTATGACCCTGGACACGTCATTTAATTTAAACTTTAGTTCTCTTGCTTGTAAAATACCTAACAATAAGCATAAATTTAAAATGTGAGTCTTTTCTGAAGTCAGTGTCTTAGGAAGGTAGCTACATAAGTCATTTATATCTCTATCCCAACAATAGATGACATCAGGACACTAACAAAATTGTAGCAATTAAGACCAAAATTATTGTCAACTGGAATAAGTTTAACTTTCAGGACTTCAGGCTTATTATCCATCAAACTGAGATTGAATTGATTTAGAGTATCCATAAATACTAGGAATAAATTTTTTTTTAATAAATTTCTTATACTGGGCACATGGTATCAATTGGTAATCTTCACCCTGTATCTGTCATTTACTTTTATAAGGTGCAAATAGTTCAGCATGGTGACAGACACATGAATTTTGAAATGGAGTTTTATTTTTGCCCCATCACCAGTATAATATCTTTGTTACATAGGGAAGAGAGTTAAAAATTTTGGAGTGCCAGCTTCTTAATCTGTGCCTAGACTATTACCTGATGAGTAATAGTCAATAAACTACAGAACGATGCACACACACACACACATTAAACTACTAAAATTTTTTATTACTGAGCCTTGTTTTAACTACTAGAATATAAATTCATTGAATCTTTGTACAACATTCAAATCTGCATATCAAAGAAAATGAGCATTATTTAAACATATTCTAAGAGAAAACTAAAATATTCTTTTTGAAAATGACTTACTTAATACAAGAACACAAAAAATACTACAATTGCAAATCAACTCCAGCTAAAGCCAAGTCTAGTATTCCATGGGTCAAAAATCAAGGAAAATGTTAGATGATTAAGTTATCGGAAGAATGAGCTGCTTCTGCAGTTTCTTGCCTTTTTTTTTTCTGGTGTTATTTTCTACAAGTTTTCATTGAGCATAACTCAGTTTACTTACTTGCATTTTCTAGAATCCTGAAGATATTTAGCAGGTTGAGAGGAGACAAAATAAATGCAAAGAGATTAGGAAATCTGGAACTATTTATACTTCTTTTAAAGCATGTCTTGGGCCCAAGGTTTTCAGCTTAAGAGGACGAATTTTACTCCTCCCATGGAAGGAGATGACACAGAGCTGCTTCTGGTACATAGTCCACAGGGAGAAACATACTGCATTCTCTTTCATTATAATTTGTGCATTTTTTTTCTTCAGCCACCACTCTCTGACACCTAAGTTAATACATACATCTACATGTCCAGGTCTTTTGTCCCTGTCATATATTGTTTCCAATGAGCCATTGGCAAATATAGGTTGCAAAGGAGACATGTGGGAGAAGGACTTTACACATCTTAGATGGCACCTAAAAGTTAATTCTCTCATTTTATTTCCCTTTAATTTTTAAGGTTCTATTGCTTTCCCTGCTTTTTCTTGGTCACATGGTAAATGGGTCAGAATCTGAAGGGCCAAGAAATTATATTAGCTACTGTAGATATCCCATTCTCTTGAAGGATACTTTAATGAGGAATACAGATGAAGATAAAAAGATAGAAACAAATACCATGATATTCATGGAATTAAAAACTGGCTTCACACTGATAAGCCAGATTTATGGAGAGAGATGTTTCCTTATTCTCTCAAGTGGAGCCTTCCATATATCTGTGATTTTCTGATATTTTTCAAAGAATCCCTAGAAGCTTTTTTCACCTATAGTAGTAAAACTTAGTAAAAAAAAATAGTAAAACTTCCCTATAAATATGATGTTTGACATCAGCTGACCCTGACTGGATGATCTTGATTGGATGCTAGGCAAGTGCCCAGGTCCTCCAATCAGTCATCTAGGCATCTTAGTTCTCACTGGCTAAGAGAGGTCATATTTTATTACGTAAGTGTGAGTGCTATATGGTGGGAGATATAAGAATTATCACATGCATTTCAAGTGCTTTCCATTCAAAGGTCTTGAAACCATAGTGAGGGTAAATTGGATGGCTTCACCTTGCTTTTTTAGACATTAAAGAAAGGACAGTACTTATCTTCCCACCTATCCTTGGAAAAGAAATTAAAGGAATCAAAGGATATTATAGAAAAAGAGATGGAGAAAGGACAAGGAGAATTTAGGGGACAACAGAAATTGATGTCTGCATCTGACTACCTGATAGTGACAGGAAGAACAAAGAATAGAATCCAAGAGGTATACTCTGCTGATAACTTATTATAATGTTTTTAAATCTGGGGACTCTAAAACTTGAAGAATTTTTTTTTGAGCAAATGTTTTCAGTAAATAATGATTTCTGATAAATATAATATGCAAGAGGGCAGTGATCCAAACTACGGCTGCTGTGATACAAGTACCATGTTACTACTTTAAAACACACCTTCAGCAATATTCTATGCAGATGAAATAATAGTTATTGATATGTTTAATTTAATATGTTTAGTTTTCTTATAGAAGTCTACAGTCTTTGAGCCACATGCTTTAGAAAAATAATTTTCCAATTTTTATGAATGTTATATAATATTATTGACATCAAGTAACAATATCATTGGAATCTCGGTATGCCCTTAATAATCATATATCTATATGATTATCTAATATACCTAGATATTTTTGCAGGGAACATGTAAGTATTATGTAGAATAAATAAAGATTATAAAAATTCTCACATAAGTTCATGTCAGAAATTGCCATCACTTTAGAGCAGATTGTGCTGTTAAAAGACTCAGTTTTTAAATTTCTATGGATTTCAAGGAAATGGATAAATGATTGTGGCCCTGTTAACCAAAATAGCAGTAAAAATGGCTTTGGCTACTGATTTAGTATCTGTAAATTAAGGATGTTGGATTGCTTGAGATTTTAGCTCTAACTCTGCTTCAATATGTAAGATACTTCTAATTGAGTCTAGATAATTGTTCTATAGGTAAATTAGTGTCCTGGATGCTAGTGCTTCAGCCAAAAAATGAAAAAGATACAATTAAATGAAAGCCTTTATCTTACTATGGGACTTGAGTGGAGGAAATCCAAGAAAAGAATTCCAGATGATCCTTTCTTCGAACAAGTAATTTGGCATAATTGGACACCTGGTTTCTTCTCATTTGTAAGTTAGTAAAGCTGGGAGTTGGTGCTAGTAAAGCTGGGAGTTGGTGCCAGAAAAGAGAACAGAAATATTAATTTATTTCTTCCTTGTTTGTAGGCTGTAGAGCAAGCTTGTCCAACCTGTGGCCCGTGGGCTGCATGCATCCCAAGATGGCTTTGAATGCTATCCAACACAACTTTCTTAAAACATTATGAGATTTTATGGGACATTTTGTGATTTTTTTTTTTTTTTGGCTCATGAGCTGTCATTAGTGTTAGTATATTTTATGTGTGGCCCAGGGAAGCCAAAAGATTGGACATCCCTGCTGTAGAGTTTCTCAGTGGTTGGAATCAATATTTGCAGAGTCTTGTAGCTTTTTCAAAGATTTTTCCCCTGCCACATTGAAGAATAGCTTGAGCAATAGCCACTCTTCTTTCCAGGTGGAGTTTGTGAATTACTTTAGAGATGATCTTTATCTGGGAAGAATTACTAATATATTATCTCTTCGTTTAGCTAACGTAAGGTTATTAGATACTTTTCTTTAAGGAAGGATACACCAGGACCTGCCTTAATAAGGCTTGATGACATTTATCTTCCTTCTAATACATCATAATATGTGTGTCGTGCAGAGATAAACTTGTATAGAAGCCAATACGACTGCTTGTATTAAAGAAACAAAGTTTAATTCATCGTTTTGTTGTTGTGTTTTGCTTACATTTTATGTATTTTGTTGAATTGTGTTTAATCACAAGAGTAATGCATGCCTGATATGGTTTGGATCTGTGTCTCCACCCTAATCTCATGTTCAGCTGTAATCCCCAGTGTTGAAGATGGGGCCTGGTGGGAAGTGATTGGATCATAGGAGCAGAGTTATCATAAATAGCTTAATATCAGTCCCTTTTGGTACGTATAGTGGGTGAGTTCTCATGAGATATGGTTGTTTACTACCTCCCTGCCTCTTCTTCCTGCTCCAGCCATGTGAAGACACATGCTCCTGTTTTTCTCTCTGCCATGATTATAAGTTTCCTGAAACCTCCCTAGAAGCTGAGCAGACGTTGCCATGCTTCCTGTACAGCCTTTAGAACTGTGAGCCAATTAAATCTCTGTTCTTCACCATTTACCCAGTCTCAGGTATTTCCTTATAGCAAGATGAGAATGGACCAGTACAGAAAATTGGTACCAAAAGTGGGGTACTGCTATAAAGATACATGAAAATGTGGAAGCAACTTTGGCATTGGATAACAGGCAGAAGTTGGAAGAGTGTGGACGGCTCAGAAGAAGACAGGGAGATGAGGGAGAATTTGGAACTTTCTAGAGACTTGTGGAATGGTTGTGACCAAAATTCTGATAGTGATATGGACAATGAAGTCCAGGCTGAGGTGGTCTCAGATGGAAATGAATTTATTGGAAACTGGAGCAAAGGTCACTTTTGTTATACATTAGCAAAGAGGTTGACTGCACTGTGCCTCTACCTTAGAGAATCTGTGGAAATTCGAAGTTGATAATATTATTTAAGTTATGTGACAGAAGTTTCTAAGCAGCAAGGTGTTCAAGATGTGTCCTGGCTGCTTCTAACAACCTATGCTCATATGTGTGAGCAAAGAAATAACATAAAATCAGAACTTATATTTAAAAGGGAAGCAGAGCATAAAAGTTTGGAAAATTATCTGCTCGGCCATGTGGTAGAAAACAGAAGCTCATTTTCAAAGGAGCAATTCAAGCAGGCTGTAGAAATTTGCATAAATGAAGAGGAGCCGAGTTCTAATAGCCAAAATAAAGGGGAGAATGCCTCAAAGACATTTCAGAGACCCTTGTAGCAGCCCCTCACATCACAGGCCTGGTGGCCTAGGAGTACTGAATGATTTTGTGGGTGAGATTCAGGACCCTGCTGCCTTGAGCAGCTTCAGGACACTGTTCCTTGCATCCTGGCTGCTCCAGCACCAGCTGTGGCTCAAAGGGGCCCAAGAACAGCTAAGGCCACTGCTTCAGAGGGTGCAAGACATAAGCCTTGGAGGCTTCCACATGGTGATAAATCTGGGAGTGTGCAAAGGTCAAAAAGTTGAGGCTTGTAAGCCTCCACCTAGATTTCAGAGGATGTGTAGAAAAGCCTGAGTGTTCAGGCAGAAGCCTCCTGCAGGGGCAGAACCCTCATGAAGAACCTCTAATAGGGCAATGTGGAGGAAAAATATGAGGTTGGAACCCCCTCACAGAGTCTCCACTGGGGCACTGCCTAGCAGAGCTATGAGAAAAGGGCCACCGTCCTCCAGACCCCAGAATGGTAGATCCACTGACAGTTTGCACCGTGCACCTAGAAAAGCTGCAAACACTCAATACAATCTCTTAAGAGCAGCAGCAGGGGCTAAACTGTGCAAAGCAATAGGGGTGGAACTGCCCAAGGCCTTGGGAGCCCACCTCTTGCATCAGTGTGTCCCTGATATGAGACATGGGGTCAAAGGAGATTATTTTGGAGTGTTAAGGTGTGTATTTGTCCGTTTTAAACTGCTATGAAGAAATACCCGAGACTGGGTAATTTATAAAGAAAAAGAGATTTAATGGACTCATAGATCCACATTGCTGGGGAGGCCTTACAATCATGGTGGAAGGTGAAGGAGGAGCAAAGTCACATCTGACATGGTGGCAGGCAAGAGAGCATGTGCAAGGGAAATGCCCTTTATAAAACCATCAGATCTTGTGAGACTTACTCACTATCATGAGAACAGCATGTGAAAAACCTACCCCCATGATTCAATTACATCCCAGTGTGTTCCTTCCATGACAGGCAGGGATTATGGGACCTACTATTCAAGAAGAAATTTGGGTGGGAAAACTGCCAAACCATATCAAGGTGTAATGACTGCCCTGCTGGGTTTTCTACTCGTGTGGGATCTTTAGCCCCTTTCTTTTGGTGCATTTCTCTCTTTTGGAATGGGAATTTGTACCCAATGCCAGTACCTCCATTATGTCTTGGAAGTAACTAACTTGTTTTTGATTTTACAGGCTCATAGGTTGAAGGGACTTGCCTTGTCTTGGATAAGACTTTGGACTTTGGACTTTTGAGTTAATGCTGGAATGAGTTAAGACTTTGTAGGACTGTTGGGAAGTAATGATTGTATTTTGTGATGTGAGAAGAACATGAGATTTGGAAGGGGCCAGAGGTGGAAGGATATGGTTTGGATCTGTGTCACCACCCAAATATCATGTTAAATTATAATCACCAGCGTTGGAGGTGGGGCCTTGTGGGAGGTAATTCAATCATGGTGGCAGAGTTCTCATCAGCGATTTAGTACCATCCCCCTTGGTACTGTATAGTGAGTTCTCAAGAGGCTGGTTGTTTGAAAGTGTGTAGCACCTCCTACCCTGCTTCTCCCTGTCCTGGCCATGTGAAGATACTTGCTCCTGCTTTGTCTTCTGCCATGATTGTAAGTTTCTTGAGGTCTCCCTAGAAGCTGAGCAGATGCTGCCATGCTTCTTGTACAGCCTGAAGAACTTTGAGCCAATTAAACCTCTGTTCTTTATAAATTACCCAGTCTCAGGTATTTTTTTACAGCAGTGTGAAAACATGCCAATACAATGCCAATAACACATCCAATAATAAATGATATTTAATGCCACCATTAATAATTTTTTCTTCTTCCTTCCTTTGATACTCAATGTGATCAAGATTTGGGAGTTAATCATTTTACTCCTCTTTACTCATGTCCAAAGTGACATGAAACCTGTATCTAAGTGTGTTATCTCCATGGGAAGATACTAAATCTTTTATTTATCATCTTATTTTTAATAAATCAT
Organism: Homo sapiens; assembly: GCF_000001405.40. Taxonomy (NCBI): domain Eukaryota; kingdom Metazoa; phylum Chordata; class Mammalia; order Primates; family Hominidae; genus Homo; species Homo sapiens. The sequence continues at coordinate 5,192,186 of NC_000011.10, forward strand.
AACATTACCTGTTATTAAATATTAATCTATTTCATTCTATGCAATAGCTGTCTGAAACTAAGTCAAAGAATGTACCATACTTTATTCACTATTTGTCTATTATTGAATATCTATATTTGTTTGAGGAATAATAATCAGAACAGAAGGATATGAAAGACTATAGGAATGGAAGTTTCTCAACAGCAAGATAAAATAGGTTAATGGAGTAATATGTAGAGAATGATGACTATAATTAAAGAAAATGAATTAAGCAATATACAATTAAAGCTCTTTATGTCTTTTCACAGCTTGATAGACCTTTATTTATATCACTGAATAATATTCTATCCTATGGATGTTCCACAGTTTATCCATTCATCTTGGTTACTTTCAACTTTTGGCAATTATGAGTAAAGTTCCTATAAACCTTGGTTAGTTCATGTCTGTGTGTGGACATAAATTTTTGACTCATTTGGGTAAATACATAGGAGTGTGATTGTTGGGTCACATGAAAAGACTAGTTTTGTAAGAAACTGTAAACTGTCTTCCAATTTGGCTGCACTATTTCTCATCCCTACAAGCAATAAGTGAGAGTTACTGTTGCTCCACTTCGTTGCCAGTGTTTGGTGGATGTCAGTATTTTGGAATTTGGCCTTCTAATATGTGTGTAGTGGTTGGTATCTTCTTGTTTTAATGTGCAGTTTCTTAATGACATGTGTTACTGAGTATATTTTCATGTGCTTATTGCAATCTATATATCTTCTTTGGTAAAGTGTCTGTTCAGATCTTTTGCCCACTTTGCAATTGGATTGTTTGTTTTTTATTGTAGAATTTTAAAAGTTCTTTGTATAATATGTATACAAGTCCTTTATCAGATAATATGTTTTGCAAATATGTTCTCTGTGGCTTGTTTTTTTCATTCTCTTAACTTACCATGAATTTTTATTTTATTTTATTTTGTTCTGGGTATTTTGTGGATACTCTCAATTTCAACTGCTGTGTTCTTTTGTTCAGAAAATTGTCTTGTATTGATCTCTAGTAAGTTCCTTCTACATGTTCTATTTTCACTCTCTCCTGAACTCCAGTTAAGATTTTGGAGTTCCTGACTTCACCCTATTTTTTCCTCCATGCCCCCCATATTTATTCCTTTGTCCTTTTTTTCTGCACTCTTAAATCTACTTCCTGTCCCCCTTATTGGCTACTTCATCTCATCTCTCATATTTTTGCTTTATTTACTATTTATCATGCCCTCTATTTTTTATACTATTCTGTTCAAATATCAAGGATCTAAAATGAGTGGTTATTTAATTAAGAATATTTATTATGCACCTCTTTTATTATTAGCTTTTATTTTCTGCCCTGAATAAGCTGTGCTCCAAATAAGTTTTCTTTATTAAAATTGATTCTAGGTATGTAATTTTTGTGTTGGTGGACTTAATTGCATTCCTGATAATCTTTGTCCATCCTTCTGTGTCCGGAATTGGTGGGTTCTTGGTCTCGCTGACTTAAAGAATGAAGCCGCGAACCCTCGTGGTGAGTGTTACAATTCTTAAAGATGGTGTGTTCAAAGGATGGTGTGTCCAAAGTTTGTTACTTCAGATGTGTCCAGAGTTTCTTCCTTCTGGTGTGTTCACGGTCTTGCTGGCTCCAGGAGTGAAGCTGCAGACCCCCACGGGGAGTGTTACAGCTCTTAAAGGCGGAGCGTATGGAGTTGCTCATTCCTCCTGTCTTGGGTTGTTCATCCCCCATGCTGGGTTCGTGGTCTTGCTGGCTTCAGAAGTGAAGCCGCAGACCTTCGCAGTGAGTGTTACAGCTCATAAAGGCAGCGCGGATCCAAAGAGTGAGCAGCAGTAAGATTTATTGTGAAGAATAAAAGAACAAAGCTTCCACAGCATGGTAGGGAACCCAAGTCAGTTGTCACAGCTGGCTCCGGCAGCCTGCCTTTATTTCCTTATCTGACCCCACCCACATCCTGCTGATTGGTCCATTTTACAGAGAGCTGATTGGCCCATTTTACAGAGAGCTGGTTGGTCCGTTTTGGCAGAGTGCTGATTGGTGCATTTACAAACCTTGAGCTAGACACAGAGTGCTGATTAGTGCATTTACAATCCTTTAGCTAGACACAAAAGTTCTCCAAGTCCCCACTAGATTAGCTAGACACAGAGCACTGATTGGTGCATTTACAAACCTTGAGTTAGACACAGATTGCTGATTGGTGCATTTACAAACCTTTAGCTAGACATGAAAGTTCTCCAGTTCCATATTTCATGGTGAGGAACAAAGAATATAGTGGGGATCCCCACCATATTCTTTGTTCCTCACCATGAAATATGGAACTGGAGAACTTTCATGTCTAGCTAAAGGTTTGTAAATGCAATTTATTGCGGCACTATTCACAATAGCAAAGACTTGGAACCAACCCAAATGTCCAACAATGATAGACTGGATTAAGAAAATGTGGCACATACACACCATGGAATACTATGCAGCCATAAAAAAGGATGAGTTCATGTCCTTTGTAGGGACATGGATGAAATTGGAAATCATCATTCTCAGTAAACTATCGCAAGGACGAAAAACCAAACACTGCATGTTCTCACTCATAGGTGGGAATTGAACAATGAGAACACATGGACACAGGAAGGGGAACATCACACTCTGGGGACTGTTGTGGGGTGGGGGGAGGGAGGAGGGATAGCATTAGGAGATATACCTAATGCTAAATGATGAGTTAATGGGTGAAGCACACCAGCATGGCACATGTATACATATGTAACTAACCTGCACATTGTGCACATGTACCCTAAAACTTAAAGTATAATAATAATAAAATAAAATAATTTTAAAAAGAGTATAGTGGGGATTTCTATGAACACGGTACAATTAGTTATCTGGCCAGTTACTTTGAAGGCTGATCAGAAAGAAGCCTAGCTAATCCAGTAAGCGAATACTCAAATGCCAATATCTATTAGTCCTTTCTCTTGAGACAGTTTATCATCATTCAATATGTATTCTTTTGCATAATCTCTCTGTTTCATATATTACACCTTAGTCCTGGCATCCTTTGCACTGAATTTCCCAGTGTCTGGATCATCATTGATTTGGTTACTACAGACACTAATCATTTTGCCAGAACTAAAGAGAAATGAGTACCTGGCTATCTTTTAGGCAACCTTAAACAGGTATTCACCTTTTCTACCATTTTTAGCCCTACCCCTCACGAATGCTTTATAAGTAATTTCTGTGTTTTTCCAGAAAATGCTCTTTGCAGATAACGTTTTTTCTCATTGGTATCCTTTTCTGTAGACATATAGATTTCAGATTATCCTGTTCTGTTTTTTAAAAAATCATATTTAAATGTATATACTTATCAATTTGTTCATACATATTGTGCTATTTTCTTCACAGTGTCTCTGTGTACATCTATAGCTTTAGTGGATTAGAGAAAGTAGCAGAAATGAACACATATTCAGTCTGCCAGGTTTATATGTAAATTGACACTTTCACTCATATTTCTTAAATTTATATTTTATTATTCAGTACAGAAAAATACATAAATAAAAGTACAGTTTGTTAAATTGACACAAAATTAGCAAAAGCTTTTAACAAACACTCAGACCAAGAAAGAGAACATTACCAGCATCTCAAAAGCTAAACACCGATTGATTCCTCAGTTCTGGCTGCAACCTGAAAGCCTGCATTTTCTATGTGCCATTACATGGTGCCAAGACTGCAGGGGCAGAAACCACACTTTTACTGGAAAAGCTTTAGGACATCGACTCCTACTGCAGGGGTGTTCTTGGCTAGGTTGGCATTAATTTTTAAGTTTCTGCAAGAGACTTCTGGGAAAATGGACTATTTTTATTTCCTTCATCTGGAGGCCTCTATTCACTACTCTAGCAATTATCTTCTGCAAGTAATGGTAACAAATATCCTAGGGAATGGAGACACAACCTCAAGTAGAACATCTCTTAAGTCTGTTTAACAATACGATTTTGATAAGCCTAGGAAAATAGGGAGGTATAGTGTAGAGCAGTCCTGGCCACTTACCAGTACTGGTCCGTGGCCTGCTAGGAACCTGGTCTCACAGCAGGGGGATGAGCAAGCATTACTGCCTGAGCTCCTCCTCCTGTCACATCGGCAGTGGCGGCATTAGATTCTCATAGAGGCATGCAAGGGATCTAGGTTGCGGCTTCTTATGAGAATCTAATGCCTAATGCTCTGAGGTGGAACAGTTTCATCCTGAAACCATGCCCTCCTGCACCTTGTCTTCCACAAAAGCAGTCCCTGGTACCAAAAACATTGAAGACTGCTGGTGTACAGTGAACATCTGCCTGTGGATTTATTATTAGCAGATCATTTTTACTAAAAACACATTTCTAATCCTGAATCATGTCCTCTCACTTCTAAGAATCACTGATTTCTCCCACTGGACCTTAGCTTTTCGGTGTAAGAGTTAAATGAATAGCAATTGAATGGACTAGACTTTCTGATTTTCTGAATCTTACTTTTGTCACCTTGTTCTCGGCAATATTTTTGTTTTCTCCTTATTATAATAACCGTGACTTCATTTAAGGCAGCAGTTACAATGATATGACAGTCTACCTATTAAAAAAAAAAAGGCAAAAGAGAACTGTGTTTCCCTAACATCACTGTGGCTGTTTTCGTAACGTTTCTCAGTGACGCTGGATAGTAGCCTTGCAGGCCTTACAAAGGAATCTGATAACTGCTTCTCACTGGCTCTGCAGGCTACCACATCAACAACAGTTTCAGCTGTTGTTGCCTAATTCATGGAAAACAAGTTTCCTTAGAAGCTGGCTTTTTGAGATATATGGAAAAATGTCTCCACCTGGCTACTATGTAGCTTTTCAAAACAGACAGTGTTTTAAACACCTGTGATGTCTCCATCTGCTCTTCCTTTCAGGACCTGGGCTGATGTCTCTGAAATTGCCTTTTCTTCCTCAGGAGAGGTTTAGTTATTTTTTTAAGTAATTGCTTCCAGATAGAGGCCTTTGCAAAACAAACAATCTAAACTACTAATGTTCTAAACCTGTTTCTTTCTGTATAAAGCCCAGTAATCATATAAAGTTTACTTTCATTGGCTTTTTTTTTTTTTTTTTACTGATTTTCCTCCCTTTGGCTGAATTGTAAAGATTCTGAAGTTCTTCATAAATCTTATCATCATAGTACAATTATATAGCTCTAAAATAAGCAATGATTTCTGAGGATACTCTTAGGTATTTTTTATTAACTGTTTTGTCACGGCCATTATTTCAAACTATTTTGGTTCACATTCTATAGGTTGCCTAATCTGAAGCACAAACACTCATAGTATGAAGTCTTCAGATGAGCCTTCCTACTCTCCCTGTTAAACATAACTCTCAAACCAACAACTCAGTTGTGTCAGACATGTAATATTGTTCAAATAATAAATATAAATTCATTCTGATGCTTCCCTATGAGTGGCTGGTGGAAAACATATTGTCAGTTGTTGAAGAATTCTCTGCTTCCCCAGTGTTGTGTCAGCTCTCCGGCGTATGGGAGGGTGGATGCTTATTCACTTTCAAAGCATTAGAAGGAAGCTTCTTTGGCCATTGAGAAATCTATGAGACATTCACATGACCTCTACAGATTCAGCAGCTAACTTCTCTTTTCATTATAAAACTGGGGCATAGGAATCTTGTCAGATTGGCCACATTCCAGTCGGCCAGGAGGGACCATGCAGACATTTATTATCATTAGGGAACCTGGAGCAGTACTACCACCTGACATTCATATCAACTTTTCTTTTTTTTTCTCTTTTTTTTTTTTTTTTTGAGACAGAGTCTCTCTCTGTCGCCCAGGCTGGAGTGCAGTGGCGTGATCTCGACTCACTGCAAGCTCCACCTCCCGGGTTCACGCCATTCTCCTGTCTCAGCCTCCCGAGTACCTGGGACTACAGGTGCCCGCCACCACGCCTGGATACTTTCTTGTGTTTTTTTAGTAGAGACGGGGTTTCACCATTGCTGGCCAGGATGGTCTCGATCTCCTGACCTCATGATCCGCCCGCCTCGGCAGCTACTATGATTATATAGTAAAAAATATATATATTGACATTTTCCCCTCTAGAACCTACCTCACAGTTTTCACTTCTGATAGCTATACCAGAAGATGCACTAGATCCTCTTTGACATCAGGAAATTCACTCCTTTATCCTTCAAATTAACCTTATACTGTAACCCAGAAGACCTAATTTATTGTTCTAGGAATAATTTTACACTTATCTTTCTAACCAGATACTTTACTCTGTCCAGAAACAATTTCCTCACTTTGAGGCTTAAGCTATTAGAAACCAAAGCCTGTATTTTTGTTTCCCTCTGAGTCAAATAAGTAGACAGAGGCTATGTTATTGAATGAAGTCCAAAGTGAAAGGAAAGGAAGGCATAATTACAGGAAGACAAATCTGGTTGTTTTAGTTGATATCTAAAAATAAAAATAAATATTTGCTTTTTGGTGTAAAATGACTCTTATGCATTAATTTGTCCAATTTTAACACTTACCTTCTTAGATACCTAATAGAATATAGGAAGATTAAAACAATTATTTTCTTGTTATCCATGCATAGTTTTGTACCTGATTTCCTTCCTTTCTTTCCTTCTTTGGAAAGCTGCACTAGCTTACTTAGAAAAGAACCGCTTTATGTTCTTTTATCTTTTTTCTTTTAAACTCAGAATAAGTCGGTAGCGGACAGTCTCATCTGTTCAGAAGATCCCCCACTTAGATATAAAAGCAAAAGATCTAGAGCAAAATCTGCTTCCAGCCTTGTAGCAGTGGAGTCCACATATAAAATCTAAAAAATAAGGATTCTAATTTAAATTAGACATGGTAGAAGTTGAATCCAAAGTCATATTTCTTTGTGTCCTCTTTATGAACTGTAGCTTCCCTGTCCAATATAGTGGCTGCTGAACTGAACTGTCCAATACAAGGACATTAAACATTTAAATATAAATTAACTTAAAGTAACTGAAATTGTAAATGCAGTTGTTCAATTACACTACCATCATTTCAAGCGCACAGGAGCCATATATTCCACTTTAGCCATTTTATGGTATTTTATAGAACATCGCCATCAGTTTAGAAAAGTTCCCTTGGACAATTCTGGTCCATACAGATATCACAACATTCCTGTGAGTTGGCTATAGTCTCCATTTTGAAGGTTAATTAAGTAAACCTCAGAGAATGAAAGAAACTTCAAGTTTTCTACTTTGAAACTTGAAAACCTAGGTTTTTAATCCAGCTTTGTTTTACAGCAAAGGAAATGCTCAAAAGTACATTTCAGGCAAATAAACAATTTTTTCCTCTTTCTTAAATATGGTCAGACTGATAGAGTGACCTACATGTGTCCAGGCTGACACAATGGAACTTGTTTGTTGATTCTCTGACTATATTTAAATATTTTTTAAGGTCATTTGTCATGGACTCAGAGTAAATCTACAATTTTAATAATTTTTTCTTTTTTATGGCACTGATTTTTGTTTATTATTGTTGCTGCTTTTCTTTCTTTTTTTTAGGCAATACATCTCAATATCTCTCAATATCTTTTCAGAGAAAAGAGTCTAAGCATTCTGGTATGAATCTGTTGGGTCTTGACACTGTAGATGATGGGATTCATTAAAGGTGGGAAAAGGATGTAGATGTTGCCAATGAGAACGTGGGCCACGGGGGAAAGGTGCTTGCCAAAACGGTGCACCATTGTGAGGCTAATGATAGGGATGTAGAACACAAGGACAGCACAGATGTGGGAGATGCAGGTCTGAAATAATTTATGCCTCTCTTCCTGAGAGGCAACTGCCAGGACTGACTTAAGAATCAGGATGTAGGAGAAAAGGATGAGTATAGCATCCAACAACAGTATGCAAATAACCAGCATCAGGGCATAGTAACTATTGAATCGGATGTCTGAACAGGCTAAGCGGAGAAGATCCTGGTGCAGGCAGAAAGAGTGAGAAAGGATGTGGAAATGACAGTAATTAAAAAATTTCAGACAGATGATGGGGGGTGTAATAAAGAAAAAACTCCTACCTATTATAGTGAGCCCAATTTTGATAATTCTGGAATTAGTCAGGATGGAGGAATAACGTAGTGGATTGCAAATTGCAATGTACCGGTCAAAGGCCATAGTGAGGAGGACAGAGGACTCCATGAAGGACAGACCATGGATGAAATAGGACTGGGCAATGCAGGAATCCAAGCTGATCTCTCGAATGATCCCCCACAGGATCCCCAGCACTGTGTACACAGTGGACAGCCCCATGCACAGGTCAGTGAGGGCCAGCATGGACAGGAAGTAAAACATAGGCTGGTGCAGGCTTGGCTCAGTCCATATCACATGGAGAACCATGCAATTGCCCAAAAGCACCATGGCATAGATTGAGGAGAAGGGGATGGAAAGCCAGGGGTATTGCTGCTCCATGCCAGAAAATCCAGTGAGAAGAAAGGAAGAATTCGTGCTGGTGCTAGGGCTTACTGAAGTAATCATTCTGGAACTGAGAAACATGTGAGAGTATTTTTTCAAAGGAAATGTTTCAATTTCACCTGAATACAATGAAATTTCTAAGTAAATGAAATACCCTAAAACTTACTGACTTAAAAAAAACAGCTGAGAAATTCTGTTTCTTTGAGACATAGTATCCATTGCCTTTGAGAAAATGGTCTTCTTTTGATGTCATTTAAAAGTCATTATTTTTTCACTGTCTGGATGTGAACATATCCTTAGAAGCCATAAGCAAAAACAAATAAGGAAGAGATTAGTAAAAGGAGAAGGCTAGTTTTAAAAAAATACGTTGCTTAGACATTTTCCCAAGGATAGTGGTAAAAATTTTATACCAGTAAAGAGCCGAGGTTCTTGAAAAATTATTTTCTTCTCTCCAATTCATTAAACATTCGAAGTGAAGAGTAATCTTTGGGCTTTAAATATCATAAGTCTATTAAATAGTCACTTTTCCGTCATTTTCCATTTTGTGCCGTCTCCAAGTATATTTTTTCTCCAAATACTATTTAATGAAGATACTCCTGTTTTCTCCCCCTCCAGATGACGTAGCCAGCAATTACTTTTTCTTCATTGGTGATAAGCAGACAGGAATATTTATGCATGAGACCTTGGGTAAATGATTTCTCACTGGAGCTCTGGCCTCTTGAGATGTTCAACTCATTTGTGCCTTTGTGATGTAGAGAATTAGATTGAAGACACTGAGCCTTTGATAGCAGCTCAGTGCTTCCCATTCCTTTATTTATTCAGTTAATGAGCTGATTAACTATTTATTCAATATACATTTATTCAATGTATTGGCCAATTGTGTTTTCTTTCTTAGAACCTGCAGTTCTACAGATCACAAAGCCAGGCTCAAACAAGCAAGCTTATAATTTCAAAAGCCTCATGGTAGCAGAATCAATTGGCTTCTTCTTTACATTGTTTGCCTGCTTTAAGTTCCAGACCTGAGAATCATCATAAGTTTTTTTAAAGCTCTAATAATGTAAACAGATGTTCAAAAGTCCATACTTTCATGTTTGATTGAGTAACTTCGAGATGTTAAAGTAACTTCAGATTTGGGCTGCCCTTTATGTCCTACTTTTCAGCTTTGTCTTATTAGCCTCACAACACAGTTCCACAGACTTTCTTCTCAATGTACTCTCTATACTACACTGACGTCTTCTAGCAGTCTAACCATTGTTTTTCTTGCCCTGACTCCTTCTCAGCATTGAATAACTTAGCTCACTATTTTTAATACTTTTTTCTCCATAGAATGCTTGAAGTTTCTTCGTTTCTTGCAGAGGATTTTTCAGTCTTTTGAATACGTATCTTCTTTCATTTCTCTAAATCGAATTTCTCTTCTTTCGTAAAATTTTTCTCGAAATGTTCTATCTGCCTAAATTATTCATCATCTTTTCCTCAATTTCTTCCTACCCTTTTTAAAACGATCTTGCAACTCAACAATCACTTTTCAAGAAGTTTCTTAAGACAAATTTATCCATATATCTATTATTTTGGTATCATGTTTCAATTTTAAATAAAACTTATAATTTTGTATTTATTAGCTAAATATTTAACTAATATTTAAACTAAATATTTAACTAATATCTCTGTTACAAACTAAATTCTCAGTTCCTTAATGTGCAGACTATGTCAACTTTTTCTTATTATTTGAAACTAACATTTGCACCTCTGATTCCTGACCACTCCTGAGAGCTCAAATTCATGAATACAACTGGCTATTTAATATATTCATCTGAGTGTTTAATCTTAAAATAAGAATGATGCCAATAAAGTACTTGATTTTCCCCCCAAAATCTATTTTCTGTCCCTTTTCTCCTAATATTATAAAGTGACTCCACCAATAACACAATTGCATAAGACAAGTCTTGAGTCATTTTTAAAATTTTTTATTTCTCTCTTTCCTTCCCTTTCCTCTCTCCATCAAATCTTTCATCAATTTCTACCATTTCTACCAGAAACACATCCCAGATAGGCCCACTTTTACACATTGCCCGTCTTGGTTTATAATATCATTGTTTCCCTGGCTACTATGATAATTTATTAAATTAATAATAATTTAATATTATTACTAGCTAATATCATGATTTATCTGTTTGTCCTCTAAAAAATGTATTATCTCCAGGGAAACCAAATTGCTTTTCTACAAACATCTACTAAATCACACAAACCTTTGTTGAAAAAACTCTTTGATGGTCACTTACCCATTGCTCGTAATGTAAAATACAAATTCTTTATCATAGTCAAAAAGCCTTGTATAACGTGGCTCACCTGCCTCTTCTATTACATCTTTAGACCACTACTGCCTACACTCCTTAATATTTAGGTATCTTTATCTTCCTCAAAACAAGCTAAGTACATGCATGTCTCAGGATCTTTGCCCATGGTCTTCTCTGTGCTCCGAATTATCTACCCCAAGTATTTGCACAGCAATTCCTTTCACCATTAACTTTTGAGTTAAAATGATTACTTCCTCAGGGGGATTTTTCTAATACTGCTCCCCACCTAGATTATCTCATTTCTTCAACCCCCTTAACTAACTTACTCTCATCACAGTATACTAGTTTATATTTATACCACTTATTATACACTGAATTTCCATTAGATTCATTAGAGGCTGTAGAAGATTAGGAACCATATCTGTTTTTTGCTCAAGAATATGAAAAATAAGGGTTAGCATAGAATGGGCACTTATCAAATAATTTTTAATTAATTATTCTATGAAATAAGAGCTAGACAATCACAGAGATATAAAGATAATATGAATGTGAACACTCCTATCAAAGTGTGTGTAAAATCATCTGTGTACACTTAGTCTTTTCTGACCTTTGGCCACCAATTGAGTCATCATATACCAAGTTTGAATGGTTTATAAAACAGATGCTGCTCCAGGGATCTTGCTGACCTTGAATACAACACTCCAATTTCAAACATGATTTCTCTCATTTCCAGCCTGACTCAGACATATCGTCAAGGATCTGGGATTGATCACAAAAGATTTAATATTCTGTGAATGTAGGTATGTGTTAAAAGTATCTACTTTCAGCCAGGCTTGGTGGCTCACGCCTGTAATCCTAGCACTTTGGGAGGCCGAGGCAGGTGGATTGGCTGAGCTCAGGAGTTGGAGACCAACCTGGGCAAAATGGTGAAACCCTGTCTCTACTAAAACACAAAAATAATTAGCTGGGCATGGCAGTGTGCTCCTGTAATCCCAGTTACTTGGGAGACTGAGGCAGGAGAATTGCTTGATCCTGGGAGGTGGAAGTTGCAGTGAGCCGAGATCGCGCCATTGCACTCCAGTCTGGGCGACAGAGCAAGACTCTGTCCCAAAGGAAAAAAAAAATCTATTTTCATGCAGGTTTCTTCAGACTGACTACAAAGGCTTCAGACTAGCTACAAAGCTTAAAAATCTACTTTCATTCAGGCTTCTTCAGACTAGATACAGAAGAAATGAGACCATCTAGATGGGGAACAGTATTATCCATGTTGCCACCATAGAGACTATCAGCCTTTTGGGATTACCAGAGCAAAATACATGTTGGAGGATTTTTTAAAATATGTTTTGAAAGGTAGGATGAAAGAGCATAGTTTTGATAAGGTAAATAAATGAAGATTTAAAGAAAAACAAGATCAATATGTCAGGTGTGCCAGATGCTCCACCTGTATTTAAAAAACAAAAAGATTTACAGTTTTCCAAGACATCATGTTGTGTTATGCTATCTGAGAGTCAGTGTATGGTATCTCAGTCTGAGTTCCCAGCAACCAGAACAATGCCTATAATAAAATAAATAGAGAAGACAAATAGCAGTGAATTTGAGTCTGGAGAAATAAAAGGGTTTTCGTATCCCCTCTGAGCACTGTCTGGAATGTTGACTTGGAAAGCAAATCTGTGATTATAATAACCAGGTCATTCTTTCAGGAGTCTTTTCTGATGCCCTCTGATTAAAACTGACCTACATATGCAGAAATCTCTTGGTTTTTTTTTTTTTTCTGTCTTTTCAGAATAATTCCCTGTGTGATTACTTGCTTACTTTAAAATAGGGTAATGACCAATAGTCATTGTTCCAAAGACATAGAGAAAGTATATTGTGTTTAAAAGACAGCTTCTTTATAATTCTATAGAACTAAAACATTCCTATTTGCCAAGGCAGTGGAGTTTTTGCTGTTCTTAGAACATAATTACTGAAAGACACCCACACATGTCCTGCCTTGGACAAAAAATTGTATGTCCATCCTTTAAAGGTCATTCCTTTAATGGTCTTTTCTGGACACCACTAGGGGTCAGAAGTAGTTCATCAAACTTTCTTCCCTCCCTACTTCAGTGATGCATAAGGCAGATCTGCTTTAGTGTAAGCGAGGTCAGGCCCTCAAGAGTCTTGGGATGGCTGAAGAGGTAAGAACATTCTATAAGACTTGTCCAAAGAACTGACTGTTTAATGATTCTGAATATGCTAGTTCAGAGAGAATCTATTTACCACAAACCTGAAGTAGGCTTAAATTTCCAGTTTACCTGAATGGTTATGACCTAATTAGAGGAATGACTTTATAAACATATATAGATACAAATATATAGTGTATATTTATTATATACTATATATTTATTATATATTATATAAGCATAAAATGTAATAGATTATTGTATATATTTAATAACATATTATTACATATTTTAATATATAATATATAAAATGTATTATATTTAATATATAATGCATGTAATATATAAATATACATTATATATTATATATTATGTAATAAATATATATTATGTATATACACATTTATCTAGACTTTATTACATATTTCATTATATATTTTATAAGATTTCTATAAATAATATTCCCATCATTACTAAAATATTTTTTAAAAATTAGCCATACCTTAGAAGCATTATAAAAAATATATGACATGGTCCATCTGTTCAACTGTAGCCATCTAACCATTTGAGAAGTTTTTATAAGATTTATAGCATTTGATTGTACCATGACATAAATCATCTCATGCAAGATAGTGTATTTGTTTTGTTGGCTTTAATATGTTCCCTTTTCTTCAGAAAATGTGAGACAGCTTAAAATAAAATTAACTATAAGAAACTGGTAAACACTGAATGAAAGAAGAAAACCAAGCAGAAAAGTAAAAGGAGGTTACAAATAAATTTATATTTTAAAAACATTTTTTATTTGCCTGGCAAATAATAAGTGCATATATTAATGGATACAATAATAATATATAATATAAATATATAATATATATAATATGTTATGGGATACAATGTGATGTTTGATCTATATATACATTGTAGAGAGAGTCTATCAAGCTAATTAGCATATGAATCACCTTCCAACTTTTTTTGTGGTGAGAACATAAAATATTTATTTTTTAGCAATTTTTAATTTAAATACATAATATATTATTAACTGTGTTCACTATGCAGTGTGAGAGATCACTAAAACTTATTCCTCTAGTCTAACTGAAGATCAACTTCTTTCCCTTCCCATCCCTCCTCTACACTCTCAGTCAGCCTATGGAACCATCTTTCTATTCCCGTTTTTATGAAATCAACTTTTTAAAAAATTCATCCTTAAATATATTAAAATGAACAGTTAAATTTATGAGGATAAATAATTAAAACTATTACACATATTTTAAGTTGTCCTCTGAAAATTCTAGAATTCTACTTCAATACCCTTATTTTTAAGATAAAGGAAATTGTAAAGGCTTTCTAAGAAATCGAGTACCCATACCTAGGCTGCTAGACTCCAGGTCCAATTTTTCTCCAGGGGGTTACTATGGCTTCAGGGAAGCTATCTATAATCACCATCTCCAGAACATCTCTCACTTTCTCATCACCACACAGTGGAATAAGAATAGTTTTGGCAGCAATAAAAAAGTAATGCCATATCAAATTAGTAAAGCCTTCAGAAAAAGTATGAATATTACACAGTTACACTTATATTAGAACTAAAATTTATTTATTGAAATTCACATTACCATAATTATTTATGTCTGATTAAATGTTATTAAAGCTAAAATTTTGAATTTATATACTACTATTAATTTCCAGTTCTATCTTTCTGTTCAAGAAAAGAATGTGAGAAGTAAATTAGTGCCTCAAATTTGCCTACTTCATCCCCAACAGAGGAGATCATGACTATATCAATAATGGAGCCTGGGCCCAGACAACTGGTTAAGAGAGAGGTCATTCTGACCTCAGAACATAGGAGAGATGGATATTGTACACCACAGAGTCCAGGATGACTAGCAGTGAAGGATTCAAATGCCTGGCGAAATCTCCTATACAACCGGAGAGACCCAAGTCCCCAAAGACAAGAAGGGATGATGAAATGGCCTCTGCATGACATGACTTGCCTATGAGCCCTCCCATTGCTATAAGGATGGGGATCTTAGCACAGTGCCTTGTGTGAACAGTAATGCTAGCCTTGATTTTACCATGGCAAGTTTGTTTAGGGAAAAATTCAACCCACCCATTGAAATTCCAACCTCAACCAAATGAGGGATGGCTGGGGATGCAACCACAAAGATACTGTATCTTAGGAGGGGAGTTTTTTTTTTTTATAGAAACTCGTCAGGATATTATTGCTAGGATGTGTTGTTACTGGGAAAAAAGCTGATGGAATACAAAAGAGTAGACATCCCCACAGGGATTATTTGAGGCAATCAGTGACTAACATGACCACTTTGCTTTCTCTATGCAGGTGTCATCTATTGTGATATAGTGCCAGGAGGTTGCCTTTGCTGTGGCTTTCGACCCTAGATTTTTAAATTGTGTGACAAACCCATCTTTTATTTATGTAAATAAAATGTCCGTGTTTATTGGTTATTGTTATATTGTGAAATTGTAGTAGATCTAAAATTGTAATTTCTTGGATTCCTAGAATTTCTAAATCTGTGGATTTTTAGAATTCTCTAGAGGTGACAAAGGTTTATTATCTAAGCTACCGGAGCTATGTACTTTTGGATATAAGAGTGTCTCCATCTCCATTGCCTTACAAATCAGGTGTGAGCCAGGCATGTCTCTCAGACTGGAAAAGGTAACTAATCAGAAGGAACCATTGTCCTAGAATGGGGCAAGTGTACAATACCCAGAAAGACCACTGGTGCCGTAGCATATAACATATTCACTCAATCCTTCATACCCTTTGTATCGTTTTTTTTCTGTTTTATTTATTTTATTTATTTATTAGAGATCATAGTGTGTGCAACACCTATGTCCAGGTTCTGTGGTAAACGTCAGCGTGGAGAAATTAGTAGCTATTAGATCATAAAAAGGTGAGGCATAATCATATTTGTCTTTGAGAAGCTGACTGTGGCTATAGGTGAAGAAAAAAATTATAATTTTAGTTTTATTATTAATATCACCATGATCATCATGATAAAAAGTTAATATTTACTGGGAACTTATTTGGTTTGTCATTTTTCGAAGGAATTTATGTTAATTTACTCACTATAAGAAATTTATAAAGTAGATTCCATTATAGCTCTTAATTTATTATTGAGGAATGTAAGGCATAGAGAAGTAACTTATCCTCAAAACAAAGCTATTAACTTATGGACCTGAGAGTAGAGCCCGGGCTGTCTCATGCCAGAACCTATTATCCCATGTTGCAAGACACAAATAGGAAAATAGAACCGGTTAGAAGTTATTGAAGGGCATGAAATAATAGTGGTTTGAAATTTGAGTAGAGTAGGACCAAGAAAATGCATATTTCAGGGAATACCTGAGAGGAAAAAAAAAAACTATGAAGGAACGCAGTAATTAGCTCCTTAGCTGAAAGAATGATCTTCTGGTCAGTGAGAACTGGTTTCAAATCTTGGTTTTGTCATTTCTTAGGTATATAATTTTTAGCTCAACACTTAGCTGCACAATTTTTAAAAATATTGTTGGTATGATGATAATATATAAAAACGGCTCATTATCTGCCACTCAAAAGCTATCAGTATTTATGATAATAATTCTAGTTGTGAGAAATTGATTATTAAATATATATAAGGGATAGAAGAGAGTGGAGAGTAAAGGCAAAAATGATTGACAAAATTTTGTCTTGGAAATCTGAGTGAACCATTCATCAAGTTTGGAAGCATTAGAGGAAACTGAAAGAAGTGGAGGATAATTTACTATCTTTTCAACTCGCTGAGTTTAAGAGGTCCATAGGTCATATAAGTGGAGGTGACCTGTAAGCTATTGTAACATTTTTTTTTCATGTCCCAAAATGTTAATGTATCCCTAACAGAGAGCAATGAAGTTCTTTTTAGTGGAGTTTCTCTTTCTTGACATAGTACCATGTAGTGAAGACACTGCTGACTTTGGAATTGAAAGAATCTTAGCTCAGCTACTTACTAGCTGAGTAGCTACAACACCTTAATGCCCATCCCAAGACAGTGTGTGTAAAAGACGAATAACAACATCTCAGGAAGCACAGGATGTACCAGAGAGCACCATCTTTTCATGTTGCTTTCCTAGGCTTTTTATTTCCCTCCTCTAGGTATTTCTGTTATTTTCCTTTTTTCATTATTTCTTCCCTCTTCTTCAGGAAGTTAAGACAGTCTACCTAGATTTAGAAGCAAATGTTTATATAGTGGTGAAATTTAAAGCCTAATTGACTAAAGCCATTTAAGAATGTAATATCTCAGTTAGTATGCACTTCTTGAAATGCAAAGAAATGGTCTGACTTTTTTCCATTGTTTAGTTTCTAAATTTAGTTTTTATTTTAATATTTTAAGTACAGCATGCATATATAAAAGTACACAAATTATACATGCACAGCTGAATTAACTTTTGGAAGGTGAACACACCCATGTAACAACTAATAAGATAGGAAATTAAAGAGTAAACATATGCTCACTCTTTATCATTCCACTAATTGTCTCCAAAGTTAATAATTATCCTGATATAATTCATTTTTATCACGATTGACTCATGTCCCTTTTTTTAAAAGTGTGTATACATTGAATTATACTGTGTTGCTTATGTCTGACTTTATTCAATATTATGTTTGTGAATTGCATTCATACTAGTGTATGACTGTAGTTGATTTTTCATTTCTGAATGTCATTCTATTTTATGTATATACCACAATATATTTATTGACTCCACAGTTGATAGATATTTGAGTACCTTCTAGCTTTTGGCTATAATATAAATTGCTGCTATGAAGATTCTTATATATTTTTGTATATATATTCTGTAAATTGCTAGGTCATAAAATATGCATATGTTCAACTTTAAAATACACTGCCAACCTGTTTACCTCCCCACTATAATTTAATGTCATTTGGTCAACCTATAATATCATAGATGTTTTCTCTTATAGCAGCCTGCATGTGCCCAGATTTTGAATTTATCCTTTGTATATTTACATTTAGTTCTGTATTATTACAATTAGTTCGTAGACCTGTTATTATTATTCTCATTTGTAGTTGAAGAAATTGCACTCCAGCAAGTTTAAATTGCTCCTGGCTACATCCCAGAAAAACAATAATAAATGAAAATACTTTTTGCCCCTACTTGACTAGGAATTGTATAAAGAGAACAGTTATTCTTCTAGTGGGAAGCAAGCTGGCCTCAACTGGAACAGAATGAGAGAAATGCAAGACATCTAATAATCCAACAGTCCCACACCCCACTAAATGTACTTTTTCCTTTTCCCCATGGAGTCAAGGCTATCTAAACTTCCTTTAAGTGCACAAGCTAATATGGTAGGGAAATATAAAGCCTAATCCTGCCATCCAGAATGAGCAAGTGGATGGGGAAAAGGGAAGGGAAAAAGGAGCAGAATCTGCCAAGTCTGACCTAATGCCCTCTGTTTCTCCCACTTGCTCTGCAGGATGGCTTAGCAGCTCCCAGCTCAGGGCCTATCAGAGGCTGAGAAGGTCGGCCCTCTGATGCATTTTATTCCTTCACTAACAAAGCAAACCCAGCTTTACTTCTACCCTCTCCTCTATGCACTCTCTCGGGGCACTTCCTAATCTCGTTAGTACCTTTTGAATTAGTTTTCAAGATAGGACTTGAGTTCCTCGAAGGATTAGAAAATAACAGTAACAGTTCATGTTGTCTGGGCCAAGCACAGTGGCTCACACCTGTAATCACAGCCGAGGCCGGAGGGAGAACGATTTGAGCTCAGGAGTTGGAGACCAGCTTGGGCAACATGGAGAAACCCCTCTCTACAAAAAATTTTAAAAAGTAGCCGAATATGGTGTTACGTGCCTGTAGTCCCAGCTACTTGGGAGGCTGAGGTGGAAGGATATCTTGAGCCAAGGAGGGGGAGATTGCAGTGAGCAAAGATTGTACCACTGCACTCCAACCTGGGCAACACAGCGAGACCCTGTCAAAAAAAAAAAAAAGAGAGCTAGAAAGAAAGAAATTAACAATTCAGGTTGTCAGAAGTAACTGAATGTCTTTAACAAATAGGAGCCATAGGACTAAATTGCTCACATTATTTTGAGGGCAAAAATTACATTGTCATTATTTTTTACCTCCAACATATATACAGTTTTTATATTTACTATATAGGAACACAATAAATGCTTGTTGCATAAAATCAAATTACAAAGAAGGACAGAGAATCATTAAATTACTTTCATAATGCGCATAAAACAACATTTTGTTAGACTTAAAAACAAGCTGATTATAACTATAAAAAGATATGTGACTAATAGGTGGAAAGAGGAGCAAGGAAGAATAAAATGGGAGGAAAGAACTGCTAAAGACTCACGATGGTTTGTTACATAGCTAAACACATGTCATGGGTTTGTCGTACAGATTATTTCATCTCCCAGTACTCAATAGTTACTTTTTCTGCT